>NC_000003.12:166735877-166887392 GCF_000001405.40 Homo sapiens
TAAACCAAGAATTTTGTATCTAATAAAGCTTTCCTTTAAAGATGAGGAAGAAATAGTCTTTCCCAAACAATAGATGAGGGAATTCATTACCATCAGACCTGTCTTACAAGAAATGCTAAGGGAAGTTTCTTCAATATGAAAGAAAAAACTACTAACATGCAAAAAGAAACCATTTGAAAGTATAAAACTCTGGAAAAGTAAGTACACAACTTAGAATACTCTAACCCTGTAATTGTGCTATGCATTCCACACACAACTCTACCCTGAAGACTAAAAGACAAATCTACCAAAAACAATAATAGCTACAGTAACATATTAAGGGATAACAAATATAAAAACATGTAAACTGGGACAACAGAAAGTCAAAATATGGTGGCATGGAGTTAAAGTATAGAGTTTTAAAGCTTTTCCTCTGTTTCTGTTTTTTTTTTCTTTACAATGAAAGAAAAGTTGTCATCTGTTTAAAATAACTTATTGTAACTATCAGATGATTTTTGTAAGTCTCAAGTTAACTACAAAGTGAAAACCTATAATAAATACAATAAAAATTAAAATCAATGAATTAAAGCATACCAACAGAGAAAATTACTTAACAACAAAGGAAGGTAGTAATAAAAAGGAGAGTGGTTAATTTAGTTTTCACTTTAATAAGAAAAGAACAGAGGATATATCAAATGACGAGAAAACAAGTAACAAAATGGCAGTAGTAAGTTCTTACCTATTAATAATAGCATTGGATGTAAATAGTCTCAATTCTCCCATAAAAAGATACAGAGAGGATAAATGAAACAAGATCCAAGTAAATGCTGCAAATAAGAAAACCTCTTCAGCTGGGCATGGTGGTTTATACCTGTAATCCCAGCACTTTGGGAGGCAGGGGCAGGCAGATCACAAGGTCAGGAGTTCGAGACCAGCCTGGCCAATATGGTGATACCCCATCTCTACTAAAAATACAAATATTAGCTGGGTATGGTGGTGCATGCCTGTAGTCCCAGCTACTCTAGAGGCTTAGGCAGGAGAATTGCTTGAACCTGGGAGGTGGTGGATGCAATAAGCCAAGATCGCACCACTGCACTCCAGCCTGGGGAACAGAGTAAGACTCCATCTCAGGGAAACAAACAAACAAACAAAACCAACAACAACAACGACAACAACAAAAAAAACACTTCACCTATAAAGATACACAAAAAGTGATGCAGTAGAGAAAGATATTCTATGGAAATAAAAATTAAACAAGACCAAAGTAGTGATACTTATATCTGATAAAATATTTTACATGTCAAAAACTGTAAAACAAAAAAAGACACTAGAAAATGATAAAAGGGTCAATTAAACAAGGAAATATTACATTATAAATATCTATGCACTCAACACTGCAATACCCATGTATATAACAGGAACATTAATACATCTAGAAAGAGAGATGCAATATAATAATAGCAGAGGACTTCAACACCCTACTCTTAGTAATGGCAGGTAACCCAGACAGAAAATTAAAGAAACATTAAAGTTAAGCTAAGCACCAGACTAAATAGTTCAACCTGACATGTACAGAATATTTCACCCAACTGCTACAGAATATACAATTTTTTTTATCAGCAAATGGAACATTCTTGCTATAGTTTGGATTTTTTACCCTTTTAACATCGAATTGAATTGAGATCACCCAATGTTGAAGGTGGAGCCTAAAGAGAGATGTTTGGGTAATGGAGGCAAATCCCTTATAAACAGATTAATCCCTTCCTGAGGGGTGAGAGTTTGAGATATTTCTCACATTATTAGTTCCTGAGAGAGCTTTTTTAAAAAAGAGCCTGGAGTCTCCCCTTTATCTCTCATTTCTTCTCTTGCCATGTGATCTCTGTACCCACCAGCTACCTTTTCCCCTCCATCATTAGTGGAAACAGCTGGAGGCATTCACCAGAAGCAGATGCTGATGCTATTCTTCTTCTACAGCCTGAAGAACTGGGAGCCAAATAAACCTCTTTTCATTATACATTTTTCACCCTAGAGTATTTCTTTATAGTAACACAAATTGACTAAGACAGGAAATTGGGACTGAGTAGCAGGGCATTGCTATAAAGATACCTACAAATGTGAAAGTGGCTCTGGAACTGGGTAATGTGCAGAGTTTAGAAAATTTTGGAGTGTTCAGGAGAAGACAAAAAGACAAGTGGAAAACTTGATATCTACATGCAAAAAATGAAACTGGGTGTTTATCTCTCATTACCTACAAAAATCAAATCAAAATGGATTGAAGACTTAAATTTAACATTTGATTCTATGAACTGCTATGAGAAAACATTAGGGAAATGCTTAAGGACACCTGTCTCAGCAAAGATATTTTTGACTAAGAACTCACAGTCACAGACAACAAAAGGAAAAATAGACAAATAAGATTTTATGAAGCCAAAAGTCTTCTGCATAGCAAAGGAAACAACAAAGTGAAGAGTTAAACTACAAAATGGGAGAAAATATTTATAAACTATTCATCTGACAAGGGATTAATTAAAAATATATATATATATACACACACATATCCATAACACCAACAGTTCAGTAGCGAGAAACGTAAGATTAAAAAACTGGTAAATATCAGAATAATCATTTCTCAAAAGAAGACATATAGTCAACAGATATATGAAAAAATGCTCAGCATCACTAATTATCAGAGAAACACAAATCGAAAGTACAGTGAGATACCATCTCACTCCAGTTAAAATGGCTTTTCTCACAAAGACAGGGAATAAGGATGCTAGCAAGAATGTGGAGAAAGGGGAAGCCTTGTACATTGTTAGTGGAAATGTAAATTAGTACAACCACTATGGAAAACAACAGGAAGATTCCTCAGAAAACTAAAAATAGAACTACCATATGCTTAAGTAGTTTCACTACTGGATATATACACCAAAGAAAGGAAATTACTATATCAGAGAGATATCTGTACTTCCACTTTTATTACAGCATTATTCACAATAGCCAAAATTTTGAATCACCTAACTGCCCATCAACAAATAAACGGATAAAGAAAATGCAGTCTATATACACAGTAAGTATTATTCAACCATAAAAAAACGAGGTCTTGTCATTTGCAGCAACATGGATGGAACTGCAGGGGATTATTTTAAGTGAAATAAGCAAAGCACAGAAAGGCAAATATTGTATGTTTTCACTCAGACATGAAAGCTGAAAAAGTGGATCTCCTGAAGGTAGAGAGTAGATTGCTTGTTGTCAGAGGTCAGGAAGAGTGAGTAGGGATGAACGGAATTTGATTAATGGGTTTAAAAATACAGATAGATAGAAGACATAAAACCTAGTGTTTTACAAATCAGTAAAGTGACAACGATAAACAATAATCTATTGTATATTTCAAAACACCCAGTAGAGAATAATCAGATGTTCTCAGCATAAAAAATGAAACATGCTTAAGATAATGGATAATCCAATTACCTTTGATTATTACACGTTATATAAATGTATCAAGATATCACATGTACTCTGAAGATATTACATTTATGTATCATTAAAATAAATTTAAAAATGTTTAAAAAGACTTTTAGGGATAAAGTGATTATAAATTATGGCACCAATAATTTTAAAATAATTTACTTGAAGCCTAACAGAAGTGAAAAAACAAATTATCCCACAAATTTTATAACATTATCAGTGAATAAAAAATTTAACATTCAATTCTAATCAAATGCTGTATTTCACCTAGGAGTATTTTCATACACTGATAGTAGGAGTGAAAGTTTAAGTTTGGTGGAAAATAATTCTAAATGTGTATTGAGACCCTTTCACAGTTAGAAATCTGAACAAATAAAAATAATTTAAATTTGTAAGATAATGAAATATGCTCACTTTAGTATTTCAATATTTCTAAATGATGTTAAAATTGAAATTTTAGTCAAGACACAAAAATAAAATAGAAGCCAGGTGTGGTATGCCCGTAATCCCAGCACTTTGGGAGACTGAGGCAGGATAATTGCTTGAGTCCAGGAGTTTAAGCCCGGGCAGGGACCCCACATGTACATTTTTTTTTTAATTAGCTGGTCATGGTGGCATGCGTCTGTAGTCTCAGCTACTTGAGAGTCTGTAGTGGGAAGATCAGCTGAGTTGGGAGGTCAAGGCTGCAGTGAGCCATGCATGATTGTATCACTGCATTCCAGCCTGGGCAACATAAATAAATTAAATATACATATGTGTGTGTGTGTGTATGTCTGTCTATATAATAGATATAAGATTGCAAATACAGATTAGTGCAGTCCCATTTTACAAAGGACATTTCCAGAAATCAATTCCATATCTCTTGAACCTTTGGGCCATATCACAGATTTAAAAGGAATCATAGTAAAGGGAAGAGAATTATGTATATTATGTAGACTTTTTTTTTAAGAGAATTGCACCACTCAGAATGTCCTGCCTTCATTCCTCCCTTACCCTTACTGAATCCCAAGGAGGTAGAAGAGGGATAAATTACACCTATTTCACCAGAAGAGTTTGTTTTTTTTTTTTTAATGGTCATTCAGAGAGATGGCAATGTCCCTGCATTGGGGTAATAGATGGCCTATTGCCTGACTTTTCTCCAAATTTGCAAATGTGGCAGAATAAAAATAGGTCTGTCAGGAGAAGAGGTTACTTTCAAAGATAATCAGGTCTAGGAAGTTGATGAATATTCTCTGAGCCAGCAGTGAACAAGTGAGAGAAAAAGTGGTCCAAAGCTTCTCAGTATATTGATAAACAGTTACTGCCAGAAGGCAAGGAGATTCCTTCAGCTAATGTTTACATGTGGTAAAAGACAAACTCATGCCAAGAAGGGACCCTGAAAGATTACCTGAAGCACAACGTAGATTGCCCATTCACAGAAATTAGAACTAAAGGGTTGCAGTTGTTACCTCCCAAGCACCTTCAAATCGTCATACATTTTCACCATCTCCAGACCCAGTAAGCCTGAAGCCAACAGTCAGACAAGAAAGATTCCTCTCACCCAGTCTGCCTACCAGGCAATATCCTCCACTTGCATCTCACACATTTACAGCTAGCCAGTGGGGACCTAAGGGTACTGGGCAAAGGAAAGCCAATCTACATGAGGGAAAGGTGAAATATATCTTACCCTTGAATGCTGATTAATTTTGGACTTGAACCTTCTAATTATAAAATTGAGACAGATTTTTTTGACATTCACTAATCTGAATAGTACTGTTACCTTAATGTGTGTGAATACGTCTTAAGATCTTTCTTAAATTTTTATAAATAGGGGAACATGTAAATTAATTGAAAAAAATGAGTATTTAACATTTTCTATATGTAATCATGATAATGGAGTGTTGGCTTATTACATTTGATTTAATTGTTTAAATGATTATCATATGCTATAATATTTATCAAAGACTGTTGCCCCAATTTTGACTTTCCTTTAAAATTTTATGTTTAGTACAATATATAAAAATAATACCTGTCTAGGACTTGGGAAACCATGACAATAATGGCTGATAGCTATTACCCATGGGTTAGTCATTTTGGCGTAGTTTTATCTTTTCTAAAGTAGATTGAACTGTATAACTCCTCTAACTGTTATATCACATAATTTCTACTTATGAATAAATTTCCCAAGTATAACAGCAATTTATTGTATTCCTTTCTCTTGTGACTTTAAACCAGATAATCCCTTTCTAATCCATTGAATGCTCTTAAAGCTTTAACATCCTATTAATCTCCACGTCAAGAAAATGATATTTTTTATTAATTCTTTAGAATGCTATCATCTCATACGAAAAATAAAAGATGGGCGGAGGACTAAAGTTAATATGTACAGAATTCCTGTCAGCTGTCATTTTTTTAAGAATAAATGTGCATTGATGTTTTCAATGAGATAATTTTAATAGGACATATCACTTAAAGTGTATGCCATTACAATTATTCTTAAAGGAAGCAAAAAACCTTAATAGATTAGATTATTTCAGCTCAGGCTAACAGACATGGCAGATGAAAATGCTATTTAACTCATTATATAATAATTCTTCTTTACCTTATAAGCAGAAAAAATATCTCATAGTGGTAGTTGTTTTCGGTGAATAATACAAAACTATCATTATAAAAGTAAACACTCTATGCTTGCACATTCATGGCAGAAGAAGGCAGAAATGAAATTTAGTTTTCTACAATTCTTTCTAGGCTTTAACCATTAGAGTAGTTACACTCAAGCCCAGAAAATGATTTTCTCAATCCAGTTTTTACAGATTTGATATTGTGGCTAAACTCAAATTATTTTAAGGTGAATATATAAAAAATGTTGATATATTAATATAACAAATATAAAATAAATTATTCTGATAGTCACATTGCAATAGGACAGCTGTACTAATAAAAGTGTTTCTCTTCTTTCACTTTTAGAAATTTTCTTCTAGTATACAGGACAGTATTATCTATATTCCTCAAATGGTAATGTGTAAATTTTTATTTCCAGAAAAGAAGGAGCAGTATTTTTCTTCTTTTGTTAAATTTTGTTAACTAAAATGTCTGTTGTGTCTCTGAAGCAACTTGACATGATAGGTAGAAATGAGATAGGTCAAAAATGATTCTTACAAATGTTAGACCATTGAGATATCACTTCTTCTTTTTTTTTTTTTTGTCTTTTAGCCTTTCATTTATGCCTTTTAAATACTTGGTGGCCTCCATTGTCACTAGTGAGAAGTTAGGTTTTAATCATACCTTTGTTCACTCATTATGTAATAAATCAGTTTTCTTTTGCTGCTGTCAAAAGAAAACTGGACTCTGGGCAATTAGTATATGAAGTTGCTAGACAGTGTGTTCTTGTAATTTATACATTTTAGGACTCATTTGGTTTACTGGCTCTAGAATTCAATAATTTTAATTAGATTTGTGAAAATTTTGGCCAGTATTTCTTCAAATATTTGTCGACTCATTTCTGTCTCTTTGTTTTAGAGACACTATGTCTTTTTTGAACCACTTGATGTATTTTTGACACCCAGTTTCTTATTGTTTTATTATTATTATTATTGCTATCTGTTCTTGTATCTATTAATTTGTGATAAAATTTACTCTTTATTTCATCATCTTTAATCTGCTGTGTTGATCATGTAAAATTTGTTTCACTTATTGTAATTTTCAGATCCTGACTTTTTCTTTTCTTTCTTTTTTGTTGTCATTCTCTTCACTCATTAAGATCTCACATTTTTGTTATGTTTTTCTTTAGTTATTTTAACATATTTATAAACTGCCTGATTTGAAATATTAACAACAACACCTCAGAATCATTTTCTATTAATTGCATTTTTTCCTCCTGTGAGTGGGTCACATTTTTCTTTTAATTTTCATATCTACTAATTTTTGGCCAAAGACTGGATATTGTAGAAAATGCATTGTATTCACTTTATGTTATGTTCTTATAAAATTTGTTGGGTTGCTTTTCTAGTAGACAATTCAGTTGTCTGAACTCACACTGAAAACTATATATCTCGGGAATGTGATATCTTCTCTCAGTTTTTTCAGGTTCCTGCTGCTGACTTTTTTCTGTTTTGTTTTTTAGCCTGGCTCCCATGGATGTCCTCTGTGTCTACACAGACAATTTCAGCTGTTTATCCTCAAAGGTTTAGCCTCACCCTTTCTGTGGTTGTCTTACTTCTGGGGCTTTCTTTGTAAATTTCCACTTTCTCTGCCATTTGTGTGTTTTATATCCTTCAATACACCAAAGCACTAGTGTTTCAGCGTTCTGCTCCCAAAGCTGCTCATAGATTCACAAAGGCACAATCAACAAAGCCCCACACTTGCAGAGGTTACACAGTGAGTTTTCTTCATTCATGTGTAGATCACTTTCTGGTTTCTTTCTGCTTTGGGGGGAAGAAAAACCCTGGGATGTCCCCTAGACATTTATATGTTAGAGATCAATGAAGGATTTGGGAGATGTATATATAAATTTACTCCCATTCTTTTAGTTGTTCTGTGGCACTCTTAAATCTAGGGCTTCGTGTTTTAGTTCCCAGCTATTTTTATACATTCCTGAACTTTGTTCTCTGCCACAGTGAGCATGTAAGGCTATGGCTTTGTGCTGCTGTAACTGTTGTATTGGGATGTGCCCTCAGTGAAGACAGCCACAAAGACAATCTACAGCTCTAAATTTTATCCTTTCCTTTTGCAGTATTTCAAAGAGTAACTATCTACAGGCTTCTATCTGCTCTTGGATGCTTTCCAGTGACTTCAAAAAGTTCTTCTTTCTTATGTATTGTGAGTGTTTTCCAAATCACGTTTTATCATCATTACTCATACACCTTTTAAATATATATATATACACTTTATATTTTAGAGCAGTTTTTGGTTCACAGAAAAAATAGAGGAAGGTACAGAGATATCCCACATATTCTCTGCTCCAACATATACATAGTTTCCCTCATTATCAATATTCCCAACCAGAGTGGTACCTTTGTTACAACTGATTAACCTACACTGACATATAATTTTCACCTAAAGCCTGTAGTTTACACATGTGTTTCATTTTAAGAGCAATAAATGCTATAAAATTAAATTGTGATGATGCTTAAATAATCCTGTTAATATAATTTAAAAATTGGATTTCACACTTTAAATGGGTGAATTTTGTACTAAGTATATATCAATACATCTGCTAAAAAAGAATATATACTATATGATTATATTTCCAGTCTATTTGTTATATGTATTTATATTAAATATACTATACATTGGTTTATATCCTATTGCATTTAAGATTTAAAAATTTCACTGTAAATTAAATTTTCCTCATTTATAAAATCAATCTTTTTACATTCTTAGGAAAAAATAAAAAAACTAACATTTATAAAGTTATTTGTTGTTAATATTCTGTTTTATTATTCTATATATTCTGTGTATTAATTTTTGAAAGAAACTATGTGAAGTGCTATGATTTTTGGTGATGTTGCATTTCATTTCTCCCACAAATATATACCATTTTACTATAAAACTATCAAAATATAAAATAACTATGGATGATAAATTATATGCACATATTCCAAATGAAAATGTAGAAATCAAGTTTTATCTCACTGATTACTTACTTTTTCTAAAATCTCCCTTTCCAAATTGTGTCTGTGTCTCATTCCTTCTGATAATTACCAATCTATATTTTGTCCCATGTATAGTTTTTTGTTTTCACTAGTCTTTACTTCTCTACCTTTTCCTTCTTTAATCACATATACCTAATAAACGTTATTGCCATAGTAAGAATTATACATGATTTTAAAGTAAACCTGTGCCTTCCATTTTCAAGTGTTTCATGAATATAATCTCTCACAAATATAATTTTAATTTTTGCCCTTGTAATAAACTGACTTCCTTTTTGATGTTTCCCTGCTGACAGCTTTTAAACTTCAACCCTCCTTCTAGTTTGTCTATCTGGCAATCCAATGACAGCAATAATAATTTCTTACCAAGGTTGCCTTTTTTGGGGGTAAAGAACTGTAGAAATCTCTTACCTCTCATAGATATTTAAAGTAGGTCACACATGTCTCTCTACATCTACAATATAAGCCACATGACAAGGCCTCATCAACATACCCCTTATCCTTTTTAGAGCTCCGGATATCAGGGATAGTGAACGAGGCATTCATATCAATTCTCACAACACACAGCACTTGACTCTTGAGCAGGCATTCAATGGAACTTCCATCTCCCTCACCGATCTGGGGTGCTAGGCTGCATAGGGAAACATAATAGCTTACTTGAAAAAGTTCCAATTCAATTGAATGAAATATGCCATGTTTCCATCATCAGGTAACCATCAGCATTTGATTGTAATAAAGGCTTTCACATCATTTTTGATGTCTGATTTCTGACCACTTTTATAACTCACACCTGCCTCTTGTTCTTTCATCCTGTATCTGCACAAGCTAACAGGAGAGCCTGCACCTTTGGCACTAGAGGAGAGTGCAAACTACATAAGGGAATTCTCACCCAGCCACATCCCCAATTACCTTAAAAAAATAAACTTTCCTGGCTTTCTCAGGCTATTTTTGTACCTGCTTGTTAGTTGTCCTGGGTTCCTAAAAAGTCTCATTATGTGAGTGATAAACCTTCTCATATCCTCTTGATACATGTGTGGCATCTAAACCAGATATGAAGTCAGAGGTACATCTTGCCTCTGCAGGTGGCCATGTTTTGGCTTTTATGTTGAGGTCTTATTGAGAACAAGTATTGCATCTCAACTGAAAAAAAAAAAAAAAAAGAAGGTGATTCTCACACTTATAGCACTCAGCAAACATTTCAATGCACTTAAATTTAAATTTTAACGGTACTCTCCACTTTGCAATTAAGTACTTTTGGGCAACCTAATAGAAAAGTGGCAAGTATACTTTAGCAAGGATAAAGAGAGAGCAGGCACAAGATCATATTATAGCATCACTATTCACCTTTAGTAATATAGCGTTTTATGTGTTATGTATTGCTTCTCTAATGCTGTGAAACAAACCACATATAAATCCAATGGCATAGGACAATACATATTTATTCATCTTTGAAATTTAGTTTCAGTCAGACTTCTGCATAAATCTAGAAATAGGCTGGGGATGGATGATGTCTAATAGTTTCAGTTGAAGTGAATTGACTCTGATATAGATGGCCTCTCATCCTTCAGCAGGTTTGTTTGGGCTTATTCACACAGTGATCTCAAGAGACAGAGTTAGCACACACAATTCGTCTTGATGTCTAAGTTCAGAGCTAGCACACCACAAATGTCTATGCATTTTGTTGTTGTTAAAACAAGGCATACAGCCACTCTACAATCTAAGAGTGGGGAAGTATAATCTACTTCTTGATGACTACCTGCAAGGACACGCATTGCAAAGTTGTAGATATCTTGGGAAAATGGTGAATTCTGAAATTTGAAATATAAAACTGACATGTAGGAAATAAACACATACCCATTAACAGTCTTCTGGAAGATATAAAAATGACTTGTAGATGAGAACAAGGCATGGTATTAACTAGTTTTATAGTATACACATATAAGAAAATAAAAATTTTGCCTTCAGGGGAAAGTACAGTGAGGAAAAAAGACATGAATGAGGCCCAATTAACAGAGCATTCTGAGAAGACATAACACTGACCCAGTAACTTGGTTTTATTGCTTGTAGGAGACATGGTCATTAATTTTTGAGTACCATAATTTACCTTGCTTGCCAAATTTTTGTCTTGGTCTGACATCATAGTTCAGAAATATTGCCAGATGGCCAAGCAAATATGGCACAACATTACTCTCAGCATGTTTGCAGGTGAGTTTTTCAGCCAGTATCTGCTTTCCTAGTTGCCACAATGTGATTCTGTTCAGGTGTTCTGAGTTTCGTCTCTGGAACTCATCTATTTCCTCAGTGTTGTTTAAACTATTAAGGTGTAATAGTAGCTGAAAATAACAATTAACATGCTGTTTCCCATCTTATTATATTCGCACATGCTGTCGCCTTTGCTTGGAACACCTTTCTCCTTTTCCCCCTGAATTATGCTTATTTATATTTTAAAATTTAGCCCAAGAATCATTCCCAGTGAGAAAAATTCTATACCTACATTTACATAATTTCAATCATGTCTGAGACCCCCAATTCCATACTCCTATAGATCCCTATGTTTACTTCTATTACACTGATCATAATTGCTTACTTAGTGTCTCCTGAACTAAAATATAAACTTCCTGAAGATAAAATCATGTGGCAGAGACAGTTCCGGACGTATATTTACTTAATAGGCATCCAATTATTTAGTAAAATAATTTGGTTAATTAATTAATTTTGTATTTATTTATTTATACGCATTCCTGTTAATGACTACAGATATTAAAGGCTTCAGTCAGAAGTCAGAAGGGGTGCCTACCACTAAGGAAATCTTTGCTAGGCTTTCCTTTTCCCTGTCTTTTGGCAAAGAAGGGTATATTTTTATTTTTATCTTTCTTCCTTTCTTCCTTCCTTCCTTCCTTCCTTCCTTCCTTCCTTCCTTCCTTCCTTCCTTCCTTCCTTCCTTCCCTCCTCCCTCCCTCCCTCTTTCTCTCTTTCTTTTACTTTTCTTTTTTTTTTTTTTTTTAACGGAGTCTTGCCCTGTTGCCCAGGCTGGAGTGCAGTGGGGCGATCTCGGCTCACTGCAACCTCCGCTTCCCGGGTTCAAGTGATTCTCCTGCCTCAGTAGCTGGGATCATAGGCACCCACCATCACACCCGGCTAATTTTTGTATTTTTGGTAGAGATGGGGTTTCACCATATTGGCAAGTCTGGTCTCAAACTCCTGACCTTGTGATCTGCCCCCCTCGGCCTCCCAAAGTGCTACGATTACAGGCGTGAGCCACTGCACACGACTTTATTTACTTTTTTCTATACTTACTTGTGGTTCTGGGTTACAAGCATCTTCACCCACAGTTGGGGATCGATAAGACAAAAACACAAGCAATCCATTCTGGCATCTTTCTTCAAACTCTGATGTCCTAGACAGTCCACTTTCTTTCCAAATTTCAGAACCATGTAATAGCCGGCTGTTGAATTATTTCCAAGGATTTTAGTTTTATTTAGAGAAGAGTAGCAAGGAAAATTGAATCTACAACATTACATCCTGGAACTAGAAATTTACCCTCTAATTTTGAAACTTATTTCTGCTGAATATCAAATTAGATGTTTGTTTGTTTATTTTTATATTTGTGTAACTTGAAAATGTTGCAATACATTTTTCTATATTGCATTTTTCTGATGAGAAATCTGCTATTACTTTTATTTTTTCCTTTGCACAAAGTAAGTTTTTTTCGCCTCTTATTTATTTTAGAATTTTATATATATATTATATTTATTTATTTTTATAACTTTTATTTTAGGTTCAGGGGTACATGTGCAGGTTTGTTATGAGGTAAACTAGTGTCATAGGGTTTTGTTGTATAGATTATTAGATCAGCCAGGTATTAAGCCTAGTACTCAACAGTTATTTTTTGCTGTTTCTCTCCCTCCTCCCATCCTTCACCCTCAAGTAGACCCAAATGTCTGTTGTTCCCTTCTTTGTGTTCATGAGTTCTCATCATTTAGCTTGCACTTATAAATGAGAACATGTGGTATTTAGTTTTCTGTTTCTGTGTTAGTTTGCTAAAACTAATAGTCCCCACCTTTATTCATGTTTCTGCAAAAGACATGATCTTTTTTTCTTTTTTATGACTGCATAGTAGTCCATGACGTATATATACCATATTTTCTTTACCCAATTTGTCATTGATGGGCATTTGTGTTGATTTCCTGTGTTTGCTGCTGTGAATAGTGCTGCAATGAACATTCACATGCATGTGACTTTATGGTAGAATGATTTTTATTTCTCTGAGTATATACCAGTTATGGGATTGCTGGGTCAAATGGAAGTTCTGCTGTTAGCTCTTTGAGGAATCACCATACTGCTTTCCACAATGGTTGAACTACTTTACACTCCCACTAACAGTGTATAAGCATTCATTTTTCTCCACAACTCATCAGCATCTGTTATTTTTGACCTTAATAACCATTCTGACTAGTGTGAGGTACTATCTTATTGTGGTTTTGATTTACATTTCTCTAATGATCAGTGATGTTGAGCTTTTTTTCAAATTCTTGTTGGCTGCATGTATATTTTCTTTTGAAAAATGTCTATTCATATCTTTTGTACTTTTTAATGAGGTTGTTTGTTCTCTTGTAAATTTGTTTAAGTTTCTTATAGATGCTGGGTATTAAACCTTTGTCAGATGCATAGTTTGCAAAATTTTTCTCCCATTCTGTAGGTTGTCTATTTACTCTGTTGATAGTCTATTTTACTGTGCAGGTGCTCTTAAGTTTAATTAGACCCCATATGTCAATTTTGTCTTTATCATTGTTTTAAAAAAAATTTAATTATTACTTATCTTGGTATAGTTTTATATGTGTTTCTTGTGCTTGGGCTTGTTTAACTTTTTGGGTTTTTAGATATATATTTTTTGACAATTTTGGAAATATTTTAGTCATTATTTCTTCAAATATTTTTTGTAACAGCCTTTCTTTCATATATCTAAGGGACTCAAATTACACATATATTAGGCCAATTAAAGTTGTCCAACAGCTCAGTGATGAACTAACTTTTCACTTGTTCTAATGATTTTTATTGGTGTGTTTCATTTTAGATAGGTCCTGTGGTTGTAGCTTCAAATTTACTACTCTTCTTATCTGCAATATTGAATCTACCTCTAATCCCATTCAGTGTATTTTTTTTCATCTCAGACAATATTGATTTCATCTTTGGAAGTTTGACTTAGGTCATGTTTATATCTTAGATAACTATTTCTAACTTTTTAAACATGTGAACTTCAGTTATAACTTTCTAATATGCTCATGTCTATTATTTCTAATATCTGAGTAGTGTGAGCCAATTTTGATTGATTGACTTTTTTTCTCCATAATAGGTATTATTTTCTTCCCTTTTTAAATTACATGCCTGATAATTTTTATAAAATACCAGACATTGAGATTTTACTTTCTTGTCTGTGAAACTTTTAAATTACTTGGAAACATTTTATCCTTTGGGTATTAACTTTAAGAATTACTGGGTTAGATCAGAGCAGTCTTTAGTCTAGGGCTAATTATCTTCCATTACACAAGCAAAATTCTTCTCTGTATTCTCTCCAATGCCCTGCAAATTATGTGGTTTTCCAACTGGCCAATAGAAACTCACTATTCCCAGCCTTGTTTAAGTATTGGGCCAAGTTTCCTCTGATACTTTCAAATGCTTCTTTTCTAGCCTTAGGTAGTTTCCTACCTAATCTCCAATCAATATTCTCCTGAGTTATAAAAGGGGATACTCTACAGATCTCAGGAGTTCTCTGTGCAGCTGTCTTCTCTACCCTTGTCTCCCTAGACACTGACCTCAACCTCCTCAGTTCAAGGAATTTGCTTGTGTAATGGAAGATAATTAGCCCTAGACTAAAGACTGCTCTGATCTAACCCAGTAATTCTTAAAGTTAATACCCAAAGGATAAAATGTTTCCAAGTAATTTAAAAGTTTCACAGACAAGAAAGTAAAATCTCAATGTCTGGTATTTTATAAAAATTATCAGGCATGTAATTTAAAAAGGGAAGAAAATAATACCTATTATGGAGAAAAAAAGTCAATCAATCAGGCGCTATCTAGGTTTCTCTTTCTGTGCCTCAGCCCAAAAAGTAAATGCTGTAAACTGGGTAAATAAACAAAAAACATATTTGCTGCCTGTCTCCCAAGGTTGCTGTTTTTTTAACCTCATGTACAGTGACTTCAAAACTTTTATTCCACCATATATTTTGTCTGCTATTTTTCGTAGGTGGGGATTGTTTCAGGTGAGAGTGTAAATCCAGTTTCTTTCTGTGTAGGGGGATGAATAATTGAGAAAAGAGAAAAACTAACATCAAGAAAAATGGAAGAATAATTATTGCTTTTCCGTTTTTCAGCATTAAGGATCAACGTAATGTTTATGACTACCAATTTAAAATAAGACTTCTTTATTATTCTTAGATATTATTCTCCAAATTTAGTCGCACAATCACAGATATAAAATAGGCAGCAAAGATTCTGTAAAGTTGTAATTTTGTTGAGAATAGGAAGAACAAAAGACATGTCCAATGCTGAAGGCTACATTGAAGGAATGACTAAATATTAACCGCTAAAATTTACATAGTTAATGAGAGAAGTTAAACAATTCAGACACTTGAGAGACAGTAAAAATGTGGTGGAATTAATGGATTGGATGTCTTAGGGTAGCCAAAGAGTATCAAAGTTGAGGCATTAAGGGGAGTGGTCTGGGAAGATAGGAAGCAGTATCCAAGAGTGAGGTGAAGTTGATGTTTAAGGTAGAACAGAGGACAAAATGAGTAGAGGAATTAAGAGAAAGTGTGTCTGGCAAGATTAACTCTGACTAGAAGGTAATATTGTAAAGAAATGCAGGGAGATGACCTGGGGCTTGGGATATAATTGCAACAATGAGGGTCAGTGGGCATTTGATACTACACAAATCAATTTTGGTAATTGTTAGGAAGAGAGGAGGAAATGCCTAAAATTGGCAAGAGGAACTATCAGTGTGTTCATTCCCCCCATTTTCTTCCAAACTTGTGTATGTGTGTGTGCATGCATGTGTATGCATGTGTATGTGTATGTGTGTGTTTACAAGAAAAACAATTTGGAATGCTACAGGGTAAACAGTGTACTTAGAGAGAGCGAAGTTTCCATTGGAGGAAGAAAGTAAAATAAGTGTTTGAAGAATCTATTGAGAATCTAAAGAGTTTTACTAATAATGAACAGGGAATCCCAAAGGCACAATGGACAGATTTCAGGAGTTGGAAAGAACTGAAGGCAGAATAGTAAATGTGAAGAGTGTCTGTGAGCGATCAAGATACTTTATTGATCTTGTGGCAATGTTGCAAAACCCAACAAGAGAATCACAATCACAGCAGAGAGGCCATGTGGTTTTGGAGCACAGTCATTCTTGCTCCAGGAAGTAAATATACTCCTTTTGAGAAATAGCTGCTGATCTGCAAACAGACCCAGGTGAAAACTAAGTACCTGTCCATCAGATGCCAAGTGACTATGTTACTTGAGCAACTCCGTACTATTTTGTGTTTTGGTGTTAGATTCATCTAGGCATAAATGTAGGCATGCTCAGAAGCATGCAGCTCAAATGAGGAGACTACTAACTCCTTCCATAAATGAATAATTTCTAAAAACTTTACAGGGGGAGATAATATATAATAACAGCAAGATTGCCTACTCTGTGGAAATCAGCCTTTTCCCTGCCACCTTTGCACTTACTTAATGGGCATATGAGCAAAAAGTTCATGAAAGAAAAGATGAAGGTTATGTATCCTTGATCCCTCTATCATGCTATTGCCCATCCTGAGTGGCCAAATTTTAATCAAATATGCTAAATTATGTGTCCTCCATTATGCACTATAACCCAAGAAGGCAATGTGGTGGTGAGAATAGATCATTTCTCATTTCCATTATGGAGAGTACCATAAAATTTCCTTACCGAAATAATTGAATATTTATGTTTTCTTTCCCTGCCTGTCATATTTTGTTTAGGCTACTATTTTTTCACTTACTGATTGCTTTGTGCAGTATCATGGTATAGGCATTAGTCAGAGTAGGCCAGGCTCTTCTTCCGTGACAAATAAAACTGAAATATCTTTTGACTTACCATATTTTTTTGGTTTTTTTTGCTTATGTCATAGTTCGAAACAGTTTGCTTGACTCTTCATGGAGGCTGTCTGTCAAGCAACATCTCAGAGATCCATCATTATTCAATCTTTGTGTCACTGTAATCTTAAGCATGTGACACCCAAACTTGCTGCAGATAGGAAAAATAAAGTAAGACTTATTGTTTGAGAATTTTGTAGACAGGCCTACAAGAGATATTTAAAAGTTCCTACTACATCCTTTTGGCCAGAATATAAACCCAGGGTCCATATAATGTCACAAAGGAGCTTGAGAAAATAGCCTTCCTATATGACAAGAAAAATGAATAATTAAAAAAATTAAAAACCAATATGTGAACCACAGCATTCTCTATGCTACAGTGTACCCATCTCTCCACAAAATAGAGCATCATCAACACATATATATTTTTTAAATCTTGCTTCTTCTTTCTGCTCCCTTTAATTCATCAATTATAGTACTATTGTTAAGAGTAGATTTAAAAATATACCTCATGAGTAGCAGAATATAAGACAGGATTTTAACACACCTATACGAAAAGAGGACATTAGTTAGTGACACATCTTACTTTGAATCTTCAGTAACCCATGAAGCCTTGAGTTGTCTCCAAAGGAGACATGGGAATGCATTTTCGGGTTTCTGTGGTAAAATTACATCATCTTCTTATCTGAAGTTAAGTTTAATCTTTGTAAATAAAAGTATTTGGAGACAAAGTATATAGATACTGGTCAATTAAATTTTATTATTATTTTGGATGGACCACCATCTCAAACCCTTCGTTTCATTTGAGAATTTCCTTACAAGATGAGCTGTGATGAGATATACATTCCATCTTCCATTACAGAATCCCCCAAAACTAAATTCCATATTTTTCCACTCTGTAATGTGGTATTGACCAATCATTTCAGAATTTTTAATCTGAAGGTGAGGGTGATGAAAAATTTATCAGACCTTACAGCTAATTCACTCTGATATGTCAAGCAAGAAATAATGATGCTTGATTTCAAATATATCTCCAAGGCAAACTGAGAATGTTATATAATAAAAAATCATCAATTTTTAAGACTTGGAAGTCTTCCAGGATTTAATATATGTACACTGGAATCTAAGATACATACACTGGAATATTATTCAGCAATAAAAACAAAAGAAGTGACACTTGATTTCTAACGCAGTATGTAAACAGCTTGGAAGTCATAATAACACCAAAAAACTCAATAAACTGAATAAAATCAGCAACTCTCTGAGATTCATCAAAGAGGTCAGGTAACAGAAAACTACTGCGATGGAAATTGGAAAGGCAGAGAGGCAGATGCAGATAATCACAGCATACTGAAGCAGAAGCCCAGGAACAGAGATCCCTGTGGAAACCAGTACCAGAGTTGGAAAAGAGAAATTGCAATTGAAAAATTGTTCAAAGCTCAATGTGGATAAGTTTAAGAGTTAAAAATGCCAGGGGTGCCCAATTTTAGGAGGGTTTCATATGTCTTTGAAGTTTATCTGTAGGAACCCTACCAGATCCTTACAATGAAGATCAGAGTAAAATTCCTTCTTGCTGTCATTATGGGGAGCCATTTTGAAATATGCCCAGAGCATTCTGTTTCTTTTATCAGCACCTGACTTCAAAAGAAGGTGATTTACTAGAGCCTAACCAACTGGGGTTCTGCTAGAGCCTAACCATCCTGGGGAAGAAAAATCCCTGACTCCAGCTCCCTCTATGCTCCTTGTCATATATAAGGAAAACAAAACAAAACAACAACAACAACAAAAAAAAAAACTGAGCACCATTTAAGAAGGTCACAGCCCATGAGACCATGCTCACTAAAACACTCAGACCTAATCATGGGAATTTGAACATCTCCCCTCCCTTCAAACCTCATTGCTACACTAAAGGCACAAATGAGAAAACAATCCATGAATTTGAAGAACCGAGAAATGCCAATAAAGAATTCCAAAACTGAAATTCAAAGAAAAAAATTAAAAAGGAAGAACAGAATATCAAATAACTGTGAAATAATCATAAAAGCACAATATATTTTTAATAGGAATATGGAAAGAAGAAAAAAAAGAGAATGTAACATAGACATACTTAAAGCAATAGTGACTGCAAACTTCCCAAATTGAATGATAGACATCAAACTACAGATCCAGGAAGCTGAGAAAACAAAAAGCTGACAAAATATTGACACAACCATATCCAGACATATTATATTCAAACTACAGGAGATCAAAGACAATGGGATAATCTTGAAAGAAGCCAGAGGAAGAAAAAAATAAACACCTTACCAACAGAGGTGTAAAAATAAGAATTTTAGGACTTTTATTTTCAGAAATAATGTAAGCAAGAAAAGGGTAGACAAACATTTGAAGTAGTGAAAGGAAAATTTCATCAATTTAGAGTGCTCTGTTCAGCAAAATCATTCTTCAAATCTGAAGATAAATAAATACTTTCACAAACAAATATTGAGAGAACACTGTGAGTAGACCTGCCTTATGAGAAATATTGAAAGAAATTATTCAGAAAGAAGAAAAGTAATATGGTTGGAAACGTGGATCTACATAAAGAAAGAAAGAGGATAAGTGAATACATAAATAAAAATAAAGTATTTTATTATTCCTAATATTAATTTATCTAAGAGATGGTTATAGCTTATGAATAAGGGAAATAAAAATAATGTTATAAGAAATGAGAGGTCAGATCCAAGCTTCTGCTATAAAATACACCTTAACAAATTTAAAGTGTAGAAATCATATAAAATATGCTTTCTGACCAGAATATAATTAAACTAGAAATTATTAACTAAAATATAGTTGAATAAGCCCAAAATCTCACAGATTTAAGTACTCACTTCCAAATAGCACATAAATAAAAAATAAACTAAATAATTTTGAAAATGCAACTTTCCAAAATTTATGGGATGCAGAAAAAGCAGCTATTAGAGGGAAATTGATAGCATTGAATGCGTATGTTGAGAAAGAAGAGTCAATAATTTAAGATCTCACCTTAGCTAACTAGAAAAAGAAGAACAAATAAAATTTAAAGTATTCAGAATGAAAATTAATTTTAAGTTATAGCAGAAATCAACAAAATTGAAAACATAAAATAGAGAACAATCCACAAACCAAAAGTTTATTCTTTAAAAAGATCAATAAAACTGAAAACATTAAATCAATAGAGAAAAACCCACAAAACTAAATGTTTATTCCTTGAAGATTAATTAATTGATAAAACTCCAGAGAGGCAAACTAATTAAAAAGGGGAGGAAATTCAAGTTACTAATATTGGAAATATAAGAGGGGCTATTGTTCCTAATCCCATGAACACTAAAAGCTCAATAAATCAATATTATGAGAGCAATATTCTTCTTAAACCAATTGAAATAGGTAATCTGTACAAACAAATATCTATTTACAAAATTAGACCTATTTACAAAGTTACCTCTAAAACAGGAACTATCAAGTTCCAATGAGTTCACTGGTGAGTTCTAGAAAACATTTTTTAAAAATGTATACCTTTTTCTTCCATCTCTTCTAGAAAACAGAAGGAATGAATAGGAATACCTCTTACCTGAATCTATGAACCCAACATACCCCAACACCAAAACCAGTCACAGACATGAGAGAAAAAAAAAGAAAAAGAAAAAAAAAAACTATAGAAAGACCATTACCTCTCATGAACACAGATGCACAACTTTTCAACACAAACTAAATACAACATTGTATAAAAATATTATATACCATGACCAAATGAGATTTATTCCACATTTGCAAGGCTCCACATTCAAACTTAATATGATCATATAAATAGAGGCAGAAAAAGCATCTGGTGAAACATTTATGATAAAAATTCTTAGCAAACTAGGAGTAAAGGAGGAACTTTCTCAATTTCAAAAAGAAAATCTTAAAAAAAGAACTGCAGCTAACATTATATGCAATAGGTTAAAATATGGGAAATGGCAAACTTCAGGGAGAAGTATTGGGGGTATATGAAAACTTTGTACTTAGAGAGAGGGTACTTACAATAAGCTTTTCTGTAAATCTAAAACTGCCTCAAAATAAAGTCTGTCTTTATAAATAAAGTCTTTAATTAAAAAATTATAAAGCACTTCAAAAGATAAAAACATGAAGTACAGATATGTGCTATAATATAAATGGGCCTTGAAAAATTATGTTAAGTATAGGAAACCAGCCATATGTTACATAAGTTCATTAAATGAAATGTACAGAATAGGCCAATCCATAGAGAACGAAGGTAGAGTGATGTTTATCATGAGCTGTGGGCAGAGAGTACTGAAAAGTAACTGCTAATATTGTTTTGGGGGAGGTTGATGAAAATATTCTAAGATTAGGTATAAGTGATGGTTGCACAGTATTCTTAATGCACTGAGAATCATTGAATTGTCCTCTTCAAAAGATGGAACATAATTGCACATGAATTATATCTCAATATAGCTGTTACTAAGAAAGAGAAAGAGACAGAGAGAGAGAAAAACAGAAAATCTTCCATATACATATAACATTGTTTTTTCTCTCACATACCAACAAAGATTCAATGAATTTCATAATAAGATGGTAACTTTGCTTCATATATTACTATACCCAAAACTTAATTTTAAGTAAACAATTTTTGAATAATTACCTTTAGACATTTGAATATATGTGCAACCTGTGTTGAGCTTTATTACCACAAATCATCATAATTTATCTACATGAACTTAATAATCTATCTACATAAACCTAATAATCTATCTACATATATAAAGATCTGCTAAGAAGTACATTTAAGATGTTTTCCTTAAATCTATTAGTGTAATAGTGCATTAATATGAAAATAACTGAATTGACGTTTTCACATAATATGCAATAATTTCATGAATCTATGTGTAGTTGGCAGTATAATGACCCCCAAAGATGTTCACTCCTCAATCTCCAGAACTATGGAATATCTTACATGGCAAAAGGGAGTTTATTAGAAAGTTAAAATTTTTACATGGGAAGTTTATCCAGGATTATTCCTTATTCCATTGAGCCTAATATAATGACAAAAATCCTTATAAGTGAGAAATGGAGCCAGGGAGTCAGAGTGAGAGAAGGAAATGTGATCAAGTAAGCAGAAGTTAGAGTGCTACATTGCTGGCATTCAAGATGGAGAAGAAGTCACAAGTCATCATTCTGGAGATGACCTATGGAAGCTGGAAAGATCAAGGAAGCTGGTTCTCCTATAGAACCTCCAGGAAAAAATGTTCCCATGCTAACATCTTGATTTTAACCCAGTGAGACCCACGTTGGACTTCTAACCTCCAGAACTACTCAATAATAAATATGTGTTGTGTTAAGCCACTAAATCTGTGGCAATTTTTTATATTAGCAATAGAAAACTTATAGTATATATTTGAATATGAAGATATATATCTGAGGTGAATTTATTTTAGTTTTATGTACTAGAAAAGAGGTTACCTAGTTTTATAAACTATTATATTTTCAGATTATGAACTTTTTACATCTTCATATTTTTACATTTAAATTTGGGTTCCAGGAAGCCACACAAAAATATGCATTCATCTTTTTTTCCTTTTTTTTTTTTTTTTGAGACGGAGTTTCACTCTTGTTGCCCAGGCTGGAGGGTAGTGGCACGATCTCGGCTCATTGCAAACTCCAACTCTGGGATTCAAGCAATTCTCGTGCCTCAGCCTCCCGAGTAGCTGGGATTACAGGTGTGCACCACCACACCCCCCTAATTTTTTTGCTTTTTTAGTAGAGATGGAGCTTCACAATGTTGGCCAGGCTGGTCTTGAACTCCTGGCCTCAAGTGATTCACCAACCTCAACCTCCCAAAATACTGGGATTACATGAGTGAGCCTCCGCACTTGGCAAAATATGTGCATTTATCTTGAACTTTGATTTCTAGTATGTATTAGTTTTTCTCAAACTGCTATGAAGAAATACCTGAAACTGGGTAATTTATAAAGGAAAGAGGTTCAATTGACTCACAGTTTTGCATTGCTGGGGAGGCCTCAGGAAACTAAAAATCATGGTAAAAGGCAAAAGAGAAGCCAGCAACTTTTTTCATAGAGCAGCAAGGAAAAGTGCTAAGCAAAGGGTGAAGAGCCCCTTATAAAACCATCAGATCTCCTGAGATCTCACTCACTATCATGAGAACAGCATGGGGGAAACCACCCCCATGACCCAATTACATCTACCTGGTCCCACCCTGGACACCTGGGGATTACTGCAATTGAAGGTGAGATTTCGGTGGAGACACAGAGCCAAACCATATCACAGCATAATAATTTTCCCAACACTGCTTCATTATTTCATGGCTTTTCTTTAGAGTATCATTTATAGTATCTGCAACTTTAATATCTAAATCAAATTATTTTGTAGAACTAGGTAGTTATGAACATTAAAAAATAAAGATTATAAAGTTTCAAATGGACAATAATATGTGATTAATTTAATACTGTTTATCTAGGTGAAAGTGAAGGAGTAAAATTTGTCAGGATTTGGCTGTAGAAAATATTTTAAAAGCTTTAAATTTTAAAGTTAGCATTTTGGTGTGCAAAATCATAGCTTTATTTCTCCATAGAAGAATTCAACTTAGTACACAATTTTCCATTTACACTGAAGGCAGAAAAAGAAAACAAAACACCTCAAACCTGATAGGTGAAGGTCACTTTCAGTCAATTCAATACTTGTGCTGAGACAAATTCATGGCTCTTCCTTGCCATTCATTTATTCCTTTCTCAGGGTATTTGCAGTAAGGGAAAAGAACTATTAATCATCTTGTCATCAGGGGAGTGGTTTCTGTGCTTGAAGTAAATACAGTTTCTCATGACTAGTCTGAAATATATAACTCATCTCCACTATTTCTGCTGTAATTTACCAGGCAGTGTGACTTGTAGTCGTTTCTCAATGGCCACTCAGGAGAACTCAGAGTCAGTCCACCTGATCACTTGGCTCCATCTTTTTTTTTTCCATCTAGATTCTGGCTTTGGTTATTTATCCCACAGCCTTTCCTGTCATCCCTTCATCCCAAGCCATCGTTTCCCTCGGACAAGCACACTGTTTTAAGTTTCTCAATTCTTAACTTATTTTCTGGTACTAAGAGAGGATGGTTGGTAGTAAGAATGAACTTTTCACACCCTCGAGGAAGTGGTGAAAACATGTCACTAGAATTACAGGTACATGTGAAACACATAAAGACATTTCTTTTTTGTGTGTGTTTGCCCCAGGACCGTGTGGAGCCCTCTGGTTCGTCAAAAGTAAACTGTTTCTTTATTCACTTGCGTTGTCCGTATAACTAGATTTTCGATTTTGGTTTTGTTTTAAATCTTCATGGTCTAAATTAGTCACATTCTATTTTAAAAGTTTTTTTTGCAATTAAAAATAGAAAACAAAACAAACACAAAATATTTTTTTCCTCAGTCAAATGTTTTTAAGAATAACTGCTTCAATTAAGTACTTAGCAAAGGTGAATTTAAAACTGGAAGCTGCTCTTGCAGCTTGAAATTGATTCAATTGATAGAGTTAAGGAATACTTTAAAGAAATAAAAATAGTGTGAACTAAAACACAGCAATTAGTATTTCATGCCTAGTGTCTTAATAAAGGCAGAAATGATAAGTTACGGAATATATTTCTCTGGGAAAGAACACAAGTTGCTTGTTTTGACAAAAGCTCTAATATTGGATAACTTGCTCTGTACAGCATTTTGTTTTAATCATATTACCGTACTATAGCATTAAGGTGGAAAGTCTTAGTTCTAGAGACAGTATTTTTAAATCTGAGCTTGTTCATCTCTTCGTTATGTGACTCTATGCAAGATAATTATCCTTTCTAAGTCTCAGTTTCTTTATCCAAGTAAAAGGATGACATTAGTGCTTGTAGGATTATTGTGAGTATGAAACCAAACAATTTATATAAACATACTTGTAAGATTATTATCACACCTGATGAGCTATTGTTATTACTAGTATTACTATTGGTATATTTGAAGTCATAGGATCATCGTACAATTTCAAATAAGCGGATTCTGTTCATGCATGGATACCTGTATAAAACAGTGTTGAAAAAGCTTTCCATTTATTTTGTAAAAATGTTTCTAATCATTCTACAAGTTATAGGTTCTGTAGCAATCTTAATGCAAGTAAAGAAAGTTATTTGAACAAAAACGATCACAATGCACCAAGTCCTGTACAGTTACAGAAGAACATAATTTCTGCCCTTTGAGAGTTTTACATTCAAAAGCAACATGATATTAACATTTATTAACATTTCTCTTATGATTGAAATAAGCAGCCCATTTAGCCATACATAAAAACAGTCTTCCATTTAAAATGACAATTTCTTTCTAAACTTTTTGAACTATTTGACAAACCAGCTTCAAAAATTTAAGGCTGTAACAAACTTTAAAACATTTTTCAAAGAAGGGTGCTTTCTTAAAAATATTAGTAATGAGTAAAATAACAAAAGTAGGTGATATAATTTTTCAAAAGTGGCAGGGTGACATAACTCAGGAGAAATAATTAAATATTTCATAATTCACATTTTTGTGTTTTCAATGGTATATGCTTTATTTCTGTTCCATTTATTTTTCCTCTTCTAAGAAGTAAAAAATAATGCAGTAAATTACATAAGCAAGATTATATTTTAGGTAGAAAAAAAGAAGAGATATATATCATTTTCATACAATTTGAGAAGTTATTAGTGCAAAGTAGATTTTGAGCAGGAAGAGAAAATAATTAGAACAAATATACTATCTACTCTTTAAGATTTTCAGTTTTGTTTCTTAATAGAAGTCAGGAAGAGAAGTCAGGAAGAGAAAATAGAAGTCAGGAAGATAAACTAATTAGAACAGATGTACTATCTACTCTTTAAGATTTGCAGTTTTGTTTCTTAATAGAAGACATACAGCATTTGAATTCTATTACCATATATCTTATTTTTGAAAATTTATAGTAATTGCTTGTTTTTGGAGTATTAGTGTCTATTTTGAACTTGAAACTTATTCACTAATTTACTATTTTGTACTTTATTTCTAATTCCAGCTTTACATTTTTTTTCACAAGAAATCCTATGTTCCTTTGGTCATGAATACAACTCAGACATAAAGTTTCTATAAATAAGTTCAATATCTGTTGGCTAGTTAGTAATTACTTATATGATCTACATTTTTCTCTCTTATTGGTACAAGTGCAGTTTTCTTACATGTGTATATTGTGTAGCGGTGAAGTCCCAACTTTTTGTGTAATCATCACTCAAATATCCTATACTGTAGATGAGTAATTTCTCATCTTTCACCCTCCTCCCACCCTTCCCTTGTGTTCAATTCTGTTATTCCACTCTGTATGTTCATGCGTATATTTCATTTAGTTTCTATTTATAAGTAACAATATGTGGTATTTGACTTTTCGATTCTGAGTTGTAACACCTAAGATAATGAATACCAGTTCCATCAACGTTGCTGCAAAAAATATGATTCCATTCTTTTTTATGGCTGAATATATTCCATTGTGTATAAACATATCATAATGTATTAATCTACTCATTTGCTTATGGACTTTTAAACTGATCCCACGTCTTTGCTATTATTGTGAATAGTGCTGCTATAAACATATAAGGCTATATTTTTGTATACATATTTTACTATATTTTATCCCTATTTTAATTTTAATTTTATT
The DNA here is from genome assembly GCF_000001405.40 of Homo sapiens. Taxonomy (NCBI): domain Eukaryota; kingdom Metazoa; phylum Chordata; class Mammalia; order Primates; family Hominidae; genus Homo; species Homo sapiens. The sequence continues at coordinate 166,762,760 of NC_000003.12, forward strand.
CTCAGCTTTTTGCCAGAGCCTATTGAAAAGTTGGTCAAATACATCCTTGAGTGACGTTAGATTGTCCATAAAACAAACCAAATATCATGGGACATGCTTTCCTGTCTCTGTTTTTGTTTTCCACTTTGCCACCTCTCTGTTTCTGTGCCCTTATATCCTATCTAAGCACTATTACATTCACTGAGTTTTTGAGTCAAGAGTACTATCTGCTATTAAGACTTCGTTTTAGTAGATGCAACCCTCTTTTGCTTGGCAGTCTTGTGACCAGGAGTAGGTGTATGATTAGCTTTTAATCAAATAGATGTGAGAACATTTATAAGGACTGATTCCAGAAAATGCCTTAAAAAGATGTCACATGCCTCTAATGGTTTTCTTTAAACTTTACATTGTCAAGAACACGCTCAGATATCCCACAAGATAGGAAAAGCGTGTATTTTCTTAAAGCATGGTAAAGCAACAGAACAGAATAAGAGTTTTTGGATGACATAAAGGAAAAAAAATAACTCTTCCACTGGAGTACCTACCAGGTAAGACATTTGTGTGATGTAAATCTATCTTTTCTAAGCTGCAGGTGAAGAAATTGTAACAATTTTTTAGACCAACTCTGCTTTCAGTTCTCCACTTTCTCTGCTATCTCCAAAGAAGCACCATCCAAACACTGTTGCAGGCCTTCTTGGGCACTTTCACTACATCTGCTGAGCATTTGTGAATATCCCTGTACCAATAGGGAACACTGCCCATTCGGCTAAGCACTATTCTTTATTGTTAACTTTTTGCCTAAGATTTTCCCCACTGGTTCCCATACATGTGGGTAACTAATGCCCTAAAACCCTCAATCTCCTGGACCACTTCCATAGTAAAATGACGGGAAGGCCACTTTCTATTTTATGATATTTTTAACATTGCGTTCTATCGATCAATTAGCACTTTGCTCCTCAGGTTTATATAGGAATTTGCAATGTAATGGTCGTTTTAGATTTTATTCTTTCCTTTGCATTAAAGCATAACTCTTTGGGAGGCAGAGACAAGTCCAAAAAAATCATGGAATACTTAGATTTTTTTTTTTATTCTTACAGCTAACATCTCATGATTGAGTTTTGCTCTTCATGTTTAGTGTATTAGTCTGTTCTTATACTACTCTAAAAACTGTCTGAAGTGGGGTAAGCTGTAAAGGAAAAAGGTTTAATTGACTCACAGTTCTACATTGCTGGAGAGGACTCAGGAAACTTACAATTATGATAGAAGGCAAAAGAGAAGCAGGCAACTTTTTCACAGGGCAACAGGAAGGAGAATTTCTGAGCAAAGAAGGAAGAGTCTCATAAAACTATCAGAGCTCCTGAGAACTCATTCACTATCATGGGAACAGCATGGGGAAAACCTCCCCCATGATTCAATTACCTCCACCTGGTCTCTCCCTGGACACATGGGGATTATGGGGATTACAATTTAAGATGATATTTGGGTGGGGACACAAAGCCTAACCATGCCATTCGTCCTCTGGCCCCTCCCAAATCTCATGTCCCTTTCACACTTCAAAACCAAGCGTACCATCCCAACAGTCCTCCATACTGTTAATTAATTCCAGCATTAACCCACAAGTCCAAGTCCAAAGTCTCATCTAAGACAAGGCAAGTCCCTCTCACTTATAAATTTAAAAGCAAGCTAGTTACTTCCTAGAAACAATGGGGGTATAGGCATTGGGTAAATACACTCATTCCAAATGGGAGAAATTGGCCAAAATGAAGGGGTTACAGGCTGCATGCAAGTCTGAAATCCAGCAGGGCACTCAAATCTTGAAGCTCCGAAATGATCTCCTTTGATTCTATGTCTCACATCCGGGTCACACTGATGCAAGAGGTAGGTTCCCATGCTTTTGGGCAACTCCATCCATGTCACTTTGTAGGGCACAGCCAACATCCAACCTGCTTTCATGAGATGGTGTTTCGCGTCTGTGGCTTTTCCAGGTGCATGATACAAGCTGTCGGTGGATCTTGGGTCTGGAGAATGTTGGCCATCTCCTCATAGTTCCACTAGGCAGTGCCCCAGTGGGGACTCTGTGTGGGGGCTGTGACCCCACATTTCTTTTCTGCACTGCCCTAGCAAAGGTTCTCCATGAGGGCTCCATATCTCCAGCAGACTTCTGCCTGGACATACAGGCATTTCTATACATCATCCAAAATCTAGGTGGAGGTCCCCAAACCTCAATTCTTGATTTCTGTGACCTCAAGACCAAACACCAGGTAGGAGCGACCAAGGCTCAGGTCTCACACTCTGTGAAGCAATGGCTTGAGCTGTATTTTGGCCCCTTTTAGCCAAGGTTGGGGTGCAGGGCACCAAGTCCTGAGACTGCATAAAGTAGCAAGGCTCTTGGCCCAGCCCATGAAAACATTTTGTCCTCCTAGGCCTTTGGGCCTCCGATGGAAGGGGATGCCATGAAGACCCATGGCATGCTCTGGTCCCATTGTCTTTGCAATTAACACTTGGCTCCACATTACTTGTGCAAATTTCTGTGGTCAGCTTGAATTTGTCCTGAGAAAATGGGTTTTTCTTTTCTATTGCATCTTCAGCCTGCAAATTCTCTAAACTTTTATGCTTTGCTTCCCTTTTAAACATAAGTTTCAATTCCAAACCATATTTTTGTGAATACGTAAAACTGAATGTTTTTAAAAGCACCCAATTCACTTCTTAAACACCTTGCTGCTTAGAAATTTCTTCTGCCAGATACCTTAAATCATCTCTCTCAAGTTCAAAGTTCCACAGATTCCTGGAACAGGGGGCTAATGTGGCCAGTCTCTTTGATAAAGCTTAGTAAGAGTCACCTTTGCTCCAGTTCCCAAGAAGTTACTCATCTCCATCGGAGACCACCTCAGCCTGGACTTCATGGTCCATATCACTATCAGCACTTTGGGTAAAGCCATTCAACAAGTCTCTAGGAAGTTCCAAATTTCCCCACATCTTTCTGTCTTCTTCTGAGCCCTCCAAACATTCCATCCTCTGCCTGTAACCCAGTTCCAAAATTGCTTTCACATTTTTGGGTATCATAGCAATGCCCCACTAGCTTAGTACAAATTTACTGAATAAGTCCATTCTGACATTGCTATAAGGAAATACCCAAGACTGGGTAATTTATAAAGGAAAGAGGTTTGACTCACAGTACAGTTCTTCATGTTTCGAGAGGCATCAGGAAACCTACGATTATGGCAAAATGCAAAGGGGAAGAAGGCACCTTCTTCACGTGGTGGCAGAAAGGAGAAGTGCTGAACAAAGTCGGGAAGAGCCCCTTATAAAACCATCGGATCTCAAGAGAACTCACTCACTATCATTAGAACAGCATGGGGGAAACCTCTCCCATGATTCAATTACCTTCACCTTGTGTCTATATTCACACATAGGGAATATGGGTATTACAATTCAAGATGAGATTTGAGTAGGGACACAAAGCCTAATCATGTTACCATGGTATGAGCTCTCTTCCAGATAATATATTAACTTCTGCTGGCCTCATGACAACAGCCAGTTATGACCATAATTATCTCAACATGAGCACCAGGTTCAACTTTAAAATAAGGATTCTGGCTGGGCACAGTGGCTCACATCTGTAACCCCAGCAATTTGGGAGGCCTAGGCAGGTAGATGACCTGAGGCCAGGAGTTCAACAAGAGCCTGGCCAACATGGTGAAACTCTGTCTCTACTAAAAAATCAAAAAATAAAAATTAGTCAGTCATGATGGTGCACACCTGTAATCCCAGCTACTGCAGAGGCCGAAGCAGGAGAATCGCTTGAACCTGGGAGGCAGAGGTTGCAGTAAGCCAAGATCATGCCACTGCACTCCAGCATGGGTGACAGAGCAAGTCTCTGAATCAAAAAAAAAAAAAAAAAAAAAGGAGTAAAGATTCCTACTAGGTAAGTAGTTTTATTACTCAGAACACTTTTTTTAAAACAATGGAGCCTAATGATGGTAAACATTTGAGTTTCTACTAAATGGCTGTTACTTCACATGTAAAGTAACCTATAGAAAGGTTCAGCCAGCTGATAATTTATCTAAATCTTGCACTGAGGCATAAGAAAAATAACCATGGGTCACATCTGTGAACCCATTGAACCCACTGTGAGATGGGATTAGGCCAGGGCTATTTTATCCTCTGGCATTCATAAGCCGCAACTCAAATAACAGAAAAGATGGAATATCAGAGATCCTTGTATTAATGTCTGCTTAGATACTTTATTTTGTAACTCAATGTCTGGCTATAACTCTGTCCCCTGTGACTTTTATATTTAGATGTCACATCAAATTCTTTTGCTCAGAAAAGATTCAGGGGTATAATTACTGTATAGGCTTGTGGTGACATCACAGGACATTTCCTTAAGGTGACACAGAATGCTATTTAATTAGTGGGCTCTGGGTCTGTGTATTCTATTACATCTAGAATGAAGGTTGAAAAAAATCATGATTTTTTATTTCAGCAGAGTTAGACTTCTGAAATCCAGATGTAAGAAATTTTTTCATGTTGTACAAACAATTCCTGTTTCATTCTGCACATCTTGTATCTAAAAACATCACATGTCTCTGTGGATCAAGGCACTTTAAATGTCTTTAAGGTCTTGCTATACATTAGGGTAATTTTCTCACTTTCTTCTGACAGCTAAGTGTCTCCACGTAGTTTCTGTCTTTCTGAGATATTATTAACACCATAGAAGCTGGATACCCTAGTTTGAGGGCAGCATCACCTTCTATCAATTCCAGCTTACAAAAAGAAGTCAAAGGACACCACTAAATCCTTTGTAAATACCTTTATCCACATCCCCAGTGCATTTTTTTTTATCACCACAGTGTTAAAAACAATTGCAAAATTTAGCAAGATTTGCAGGACCTAAGAGCACTATTCCAAAACTCAGAGCATTTATGTATAACAAAGCAAAACAAGTAAACTAATTTGAGTGGAATTGCTTTAAATATAGGGATAGATTTAATGACACTTAGAATGTTTGTAATATTGGCATTTATTCTCCATGAACATGGAATGTATTGCAACCATTTATTTAGATTTTCTTTAATGTCTCCTATTAAAGTTTATAATTTTATTCCTAGATAATTTGCAATTTTTTCTAGCTCCAGAGAATTTTTTTCTTTAATTTTTTCCCTTCCTTCCTTCCTTCCTTCCTTCCTTCCTTCCTTCCTTCCTTCCTTCCTTCCTTCCTTCCTTTTTGTCTACTTCTTTTTCAAAATTTATTTGTTTACATGTTTTGAGGCCTGGAGTGGTGGCTCATGCCTGTAACCCCAGCAATTTTGAAGGCCGAGGCAGGCAGATCACCTAAGGTCAGGAGTTTGAGACCAGCCTGACCAGTATGGTGAAACCCCATCTCTACTAAAAATACAAAAATTAGCTGGGCCTGGTGGCAGGCACCTGTATTCCCAGCTGCTCAGGAGGCTGACACAGGAGAACTGCTTGAACCCTGGAGGCAGAGGTTGCAGTAAGCCAAGATCATGCCACTGCACTCCAGCCTGGGCAGCAGAGCGAGACTCCATCTCAAAAAAACAAACAAACAACAACAACAACAACAACAAACTATTTAAACGCATTGGCATAGATGCATCTAACAGACATAATATCGAGTAAAACATAAAGAAGATCAAATACTATGATGTTGAATTAAGATGACTCGTCAATTTGACTGTTGAAATTGACTCAGGTAATCACAGAAACCAAACAAGAAAATTTACACATCTAAAAATTTAAAGAGTGTACCCCAGTTGCTGGAAGATGAAAACTAAAGGGTTAGACTATATGGTGTTATAACAGAAATAAATCAAGGATTGAATAAAAGAGGATTTGAGGTGATGCTGTAAAAATAATCTGGAGATAGTGAAGGCAATCCAGGAGAATGGAAACATACCTGGCTCTAATGCAAATAGTGTAGCAAAGAATAAAAACCTTCAAATGATGATAAATTGCAAGGAAATTCACAGTACTTGCATTTTGTCTGTTTGCCTTTAGAAATGTAGTTTTCATTTTTATGATATTCTTGAGAAGTTATTCCCTTCTTTAGATTTTTATTCAATGTTTCTATATTAAAGTTATTATTTTTTCTGAGGAATGTGATATATGTGATAAGGTAACATTTATTGCTTCTTATATGTGAGTTGTCTAGTGACCAGTAAAAAGTTAAAGTAACAACTTGCTTTCAGAAGAAACAAAATAGAAATATAAATTATTTGCTTTGAGAAGTCTAAAAGTTTTATTGCTATGATAAAGTAAATGACTTACTTTATTGTTTGAATACCTAAATAATATCTAGTCTCTATTGAGAATTGCCAAAATAATTTTGTGAATTCTAATATTGATTTACTATGCATCTTTTTGTTTCTGTGTTCTTACTAAACCCTCTACATAGTCAAGAAGAAAAAGCTGGAATGAGAAAGTAGTGTCAGAATTGTAAAGAGAGAAAGATGTGATTTTTTTCTTTTTCTTTTTTTTTTTTTTTTGAGACAGAGTCTCGCTCTGTCACCCAGGCTGGAGTGCAGTGGTGTGATCTCAGCTCACTGAAACCTCTGAGTCCAGGGTTCAAGTTATTCTCTTGTTTAGGCCTCCTGAGTATCTAGGGTTACAGGCACACACCAGCACACCCAGCTAATTTTTGTATTTTTAGTACAGATGGGGTTTCACCATGTTGGTCAGGCTGGTCTTGAACTCCTGATCTCGTGATCCACCTGCCTTGGCCTCCCAAAGTGCTGGGATTACAGCCGTGAGCCACTGTATCTGGCCAGGGGTGAAAATTTTACATTAACTCAGAAAACATTAATTTGTTGTCTAATAAGTGCTAGACATTCTAGTAAGTATTATGTATTATAAAGCTGAATAAGATTCTGTTCAACCTCCATGAACTTCTAAAAACACAAAAGATTTAAAAATTACAATAAAATGTGGCATGCAAAATAATAGGAATTGTTCAGTGTGCCAACTGGAATATATTAAAGGGTTAGGGAGCGTTTCCTATAGAAGATCAAAATTTTTACATTGTAGTTTGTTTATTTCCCAAGTACTTCTTTTATTTTTATCGCTAGAATCCATGAGATTTTAAGGTCTTTACATAATTAAAGGCATTTCTAAGGGATTTACTCTCTTCCTAAGTGCTCATGTTTAGGACAGAAAAGATATGGAATATTGTAGAAAATTCTAGAAAAAGCAGTTTTTTAAAAGTGATGTCTGTATTAGACACAAAATATGTTGTCCAAATTCCCCTTCAAGAAATGACTTGCTGTCTTCTGGCTGTGGAGTGTGCAGGCAACAGACAGAGAGCCTGGAGCTGTCAACTCCTTCAGGATTCGCCTAAGGTCAGCCCATATCTAGTGACTGAGAGAGGTACGGGTATAAAGGCATAGTCATCTTGGCCCAGTCTGAGACACTGTGACAGACAATAATTGTTCCTAAACCCTCTGCTAGTTTCCCAGAGTTTGTCCTGTCTACATGACAGTCAGACTTTTTTTCAATACCTGATCCCAGTTCTTCCCCTTTCTTTCACATGTGTTTGCTTTTAAATAATATCTTGAAACCATGCTCTATCCCAATATTAGTTTTCAAAGAATCTAAAGTGCAACACTGCTATTCAGTGCAAACCGGAAGAAGTGTAGTATGGTGAAAAGAGTATAGAGTTGGAGACACATGTGCTTTTCCTTTATGTCCAAAGTGCATTTTTTAAGGTGACTCAAACTTCTTGAAACTGCTGTTTTCAGACTTACAGTCATAATAGAATAAGATAAATATAAAGTGTAAGACAAGGTGTGTATTAGACTATTCTTGCATTGCTGTAAAGAAATATTTGACACTGGGTAACTTATAAAGAAAAGAGGTTTAATTGGGTCACAGTTCTCCAGGCTTTACAGGAAATATGGTACTGACATCTGCTTGGCTTCTAGGGAGGCCTCAGGAAGCTTACAATTATGACGGAAGGCAAAGGGGAAATAGGCATGTCACATAGAGAAAGAGGAGAGAGAGAGAGAGTGGGGAGGAAGTGTCGCACACTTTTAAAGGACCAGATATCCTGTGAACTCAGAGTGAGAGCTCACTTATCACCAAGGGGATGGCCCAAGACATTCATAAGTGATCCAATCCATTGATACAGACAGGAGACAGGGAAATACTGGCTAGAAGAGGGCAGTTCCCCAGAAAAGGCCCCACCCTCAAGGTTTGAGACCCATGGCCCTAAATGGAGACAGTCATTCCTGTTTTTGCACCCAAAAAGTTGCCTTTTGGCCTGCCACGCCTCCTATCCTGTACCCATATAAACACCAAACCCCAGGCGCTAGAAGCAGAGGAGCAGTCAAGGAGACAAGAAGACAAATTGTGGAATGATGTGGCAGAGAAAGAGAGAAAAGGAGGAACGTCTGAACGCCAAGAGGAGTTCGACTAGGGACAGTTGGAGAGGGGTTCCACTGCTAGAAGGCCAGGCTCCAGGGGAAGATCATCTTCCCACTCTATCCCCACTTCCAGCTCTTCATCCGTCCTGCTGAGAGCCACCTCCACCTTTCAATAAAACCTCCTTATTCACCTAAGTCCTTGTGTGACCCGATTCTTCCAGGATGCTGGAAAAGAGCTTGGGATACAGAAAGTGGTCACACTGGCCCTCTGCCCTTGCAGAAAGGCAGAGAGTCCACTGAGCTGGTTAACACTCAAGCTGTCTGTAGATGGCAAGGGTCAAAGGGCACAGTGTAACACATGCACACTTGGGCTCCTGCACCTACCCATCTGTGTGCTACCCCTCCCCTCAGAGATTTGAGCAGCTCTGGCAACAGAACAGGCAAGCTGCACCCCGTCACATATCCTGCGAGGAAAACCAGGGAAATCTCCCATTTCACTATGATCCAAACACCTCCCATCAGGACCCACATCCACATCCAACATTGGGGATTACAGTTCAACATGAGATTTGGGTAGGGACAAATATCCAAACAATATCAGGTTCCATCTTCCACTAATATGAATGCTATAACTTAGTGGGAGAGATGGACAGTATTTAATTTCTAATGTTTCAAATCATATTCTGCATTATTTACTACATTGGGCTTTTCAAAATTTTCATTGTATTTTTTAGAGGGGAATCTATCAGTTCATAAGTAACTTAGTTACTAAAAAAGCAAAAATTATACCTCTGGAAATATTCAGAGTTTCTGTGGGATTGTTAAATCATAAAACAGAAAAATCATGGGAGTCAACATCAGCCCTGCTGAGGACAATTTATGTCATTAAAACTAATCTATTGATATGGTGTTAGGAGAGATAAGTAGAGAGGTTAGTGTCACAAATGTAGGATTTCTTTAAAACAAACTTGTATTCCCAGTCAGTATGTGAAATGTGAGATCCATCGACATTGAAAGCTATGCAAAAGGTTGGCACTTTTCTTTGGAAACTGCCTTTTACTAATTGATTTATTTTTACTTGCTGTTTGAAGTTGGTGTCAGGGTTTAGGTTTCAAACTGACATTGGAAGCAGAATAGATTTTTAGGTTTCCAAATATTAAACAAAATATTTCTGATAGCAATTGTTATATTTGAGTCTTCATATTTCATAATTCTTTCAACTCAGAATATGAAGGCCTGTAGAGATCACCCATATAAACTTCATTTTATAAACATGACATAGGAAAGAAAAAAGTTTAAAAAAATTTAAAATATTATGAAAAAATTAAAAATAATATTTAAAATATTGAAAAATTAAGAAATACCATATAAATAAAAAAACAAGAAAAAATGTTTTCCACTTATGATGCAATTATACAAGTGATAAAGCATATCATTTAACTTTGTTTAGAAATATTAAATGTAATAATGCTATATCATAATTTAGATTTATCCACTTGTTCGGTTATTAACGCCTGATGTATATCAGGCATCATTAGACAAATCAGACAAAAATTTATGCTTTTGCAGTACTGACACTTTTGTAGAGGAGATGAACAATAAAATTTATCAATGTTAATTAATTTCTTAAAGATCACCAGCATGATGTGGAAAAAAAAGAATAGAATAAGCAATGATGAGTATTGAGAACAGTTTATAACTTTATTTCAGCTAGGGTTGTCATGTGTTTTAATTTTTTATTGCATTCTAAAACATCCTAAAATTTAATGATTTAAAACACCTGTATTTATTATTTCCAAAATTCCCTGTTTCCTGTGCACTTCCTTTGCTGGTTTTGCCTAAGCTGATTTACACAGTATTTAGATAGAGGGGTGGTGATCTGGAACGTCCAACATGGTCTTTCACAACACAGGCCATAGGTCCTGACAGGAATGACTCAGTTATGCTTCAGGAGGTGAAACTGACTTTCTTATAGAGAAGTCAAAGAGCAGTATCTCAAAATAGCAAGAAAGGAAGCTGATGATTTTTTAAGACATTAGCCATGGAAATTACATACAATCATTTTCATAATATTCTATTCATCTAAATAAGCAAGGCCAGTTCAATAGAAAGGAGTAGGGAAATAAACTCCATCTTCTGATGGGAAAGGTAGGAAAGTCACATTGCAAAGGGATATAGATAATTGGCCATATTTATTGCCATATTTTGCAAATTACCTTGGCCTGGTCTTACCTATAGCTTCAATTACTTCTGTTGTCTCCATGCAACATAAAACCATTATGTCCACACAGCATGAAGTCTCATTCAATTATAGCATCAAGCTCAAGGTTTAGTATCTTGTGATCTGCATCTAACAGACAATGCCTCTTAGATGTGCCCCTCAGCTACAACTCCTTTTGACACAGCTCTCTGGTTCCTGTCTTGATAATAGACTATAAAAAGCCAAGAATAAAAGCCAAGAAACTTGCTAAAAGACGATACCAGTAACCCAGGAAAGAAATGATGAGAATCTGACAAAAAGTGGTAGCCTTCAAAAGAAGAATAAGAGGTCATATTTTAATACCATTCAGAATGCATGGGTAATAGATATGTTGATGTGGAATTTGTGATAAAGAGAGGAGTCAAGGACAACTTCATGTTTTTGGTCTAAACACCTAGAAGAATGGAATTATTATAACCTAAAAAGTGGAAGACACTGAATAGAGGAGATTTGATGTGGATCGGGAACTTCACTTGGATGTGCAATGTTCATTAAACATTGAGGAGAATATATCTATTAAAAAATTGGGTATAAAGTCTGGAGTTGAGAAGTTCAATAAGAATTTCTGAAATTATCACCCTATTTATAATATTTAAATTCATATCTGGATAATATTGCCAAGAGAGTGAGTTCCATTTGAGAAGAAAAGAGAAAGAATGGGCAATGGAGCACTCCTATGTTAAGAGATATGGTAGAAAAAGAAGGGAATACAAGAGAAAAAAATGAACACAAATAAGTCGGAAGAAAACTATAAATGTGTAATCTAAAAGTAAGAAAAAGAACAAAATTAAAAGTAAAAGGAAGTAGTTATCTGCATCAAATGTTGTGCGCAATTTAATTATGATTAATTATAAAATAGAACATTGGATTTAGAAACCCGGAAGTCATCATTTTAAATGCAGGCATTAACTTACATTTGCTGTTCATATGCAGTGTGACAAGTATTTTTATATATCATATTTCAATTAGTCCTCATAGCAGCCCCATGATGCTTAGGAAATGCTAGGTTAGTTTTCTATTCATCTATTGATGGACACTCAGGTTGTTAAATTATAAGAGCATTCAAATATTACACCTACTGTTACTCCATTACCTTACAATGCTCTTTTCCTAGCGGCAAGAAAATTAGATCAGAAATAATTGAAGATGACTTTTATTTCTGATCTAGCTGCCAAATCAGAACACACATAAATGCACACACACACATGCACACAAAGACACACACACACATATACACCTACACACATATGTAACTACATATATAATTTACTACATAGTATATATATTAATTTTCCTCTCAAAATATGTTTTCTAAAACCTATCTTTAAAAAATATAACTTTTTATCAATATTCATTTTAACCACCTTCCTTTATTAATACAGCTCCTGGAGGCCAGGTGTGGTAACTCATGCCTATAATCCCAGCAGTTTGGGAGGCCAAGGCTGGCGGATCACCTGAGGTCTGGAATTCGAGACCAGCCTGGACATCACGGTGAAATTCTGTCTCTACCAAAAATAAAAAAATTAGTCAGGCGTAGTGGCAGGCATCTGTAATCCAAGCTACTCAGGAGGCTGAGGCAGGAGAATCACTTGAACCCGGGGTGGGTGAAAGTTGCAGTGAGCCAAGATAGCACCAATGCATTCCAGCCTGGGTGACAGAGTGAGACTCCAAAAAAAAAAAAAAGAAAGAAAGAAGGAAAGGAGGAAAGAAAGAGAAAGAAAGAAAGAAAGAAAGAAAGAAAGAAAGAAAGAAAGAAAGAAAGAAAGAAAGAAAGAAAGAAAGAGAAAGAAGGAAGGAAGGAAGGAAAGAAAGAAAGAAGGAAAGAAAGGAAGGAAGAAGGAAGGAGGGAAGGAGGGAGGGAGGGAGGGAAAGAAGGAAGGAACAAGGAAGGAAGGAAGGAAAGAAAAAAGAAAAAAGAAAAAATACAGCTCCTGGATTTAGGTGGAAACATGGTCATTCAACTTTAAAGTTCATTTCACATCCTACAGTGCAGCTAGATGTGACCGTGTGACTTATGTAAGACCAATGACAGCTGAAAAGAAGTAGCATAGCATGTGTTACCTCAAGGTCATGAACTTAAAAGGAATGTGCTCCCTATCTGCACTTCCACTATTGTGCTAGCTTATTGTATTAGTCTGTTTTCACTCTGCTTATAAAGACATACCCAAGACTGGGCAGTTTACAAAAGAAAGAGGTTTAATTGGACTAACAGTTCCACATGGCTGGGGAAACCTCACAATCATGGCAGCAGGCAAGGAGGAGCAAGTCACATCTTACATGAATGGTGGCAGGCAAAGAGAGGAGTGCTTGTGCAGGGAAACTCCACTTTATATAATCATCAGATCTCCTGAGACTGACTTACTATCATGAGAAAATCATGGGAAAGACCTGCCCCCATGATTCAGTTACCTCCCACTGGGTCCTTCCCACAACATGCGGGAATTCAAGATAAGATTTGGGTGGAGACACAATCAAACCATATACTTATATGCAGATGTGATAGTTATCAAAAGATACATGACGCAGAAAGGAAAAGTCATGTTAGGAGTTGAAGAATGAAAGAAAATATTAATGGGATGTTTCTGAATAATTATTATAAAATAAAAAGACAATTCTATCATGTTGAATTCAATGGATTTTAGATGTGTTTTTGTTGCTGTTGCTGTCATTAGTCATATAAATTATATGAGTTTTTAGTTAAAAGTGGTATAAAACAATGTGTCAGACCTCTGAAACAGTCTACAACTACTTTGACATCTAAACTTTTATAAAAGTTAAAATAGGCCGGGCGCGGTTGCTCATGTCTATAATCCCAGCACTTTGGGAGGCCGAGGCGGGCAGATCATGAGGTCAGGAGTTCGAGACCATCCTGGCTAACACGGTGAAACCCCATCTCTACTAAAAATACAAAAAATTAGCCGGGCGGGGTGGCGGGCGCCTGTAGTCCCACCTACTCGGGAGGCTGAGGCAGGAGAATGGCGTGAACCCAGGAGGGGGAGCTTGCAGTGAGCCGAGATCGCGCCACTGCACTCCGGCCTGGGCGAAAGAGCGAGACTCTGTCTCAAAAAAAAAAAAAAAAAAAAAAAAAAAAAAAAAAGTTAAAATAACTTGTTAACCTAAAGTTAATAATTACATAGTGAATATATCGTAGAAAAGTCTAAATATTGTAAAGGCAACGAGGCTACCTCCTCATTTGACATGAAGATAGAGTGTTAAGTTCACAGAAAGTTATGGGCCTATAGAACAATACAAACTCTGCCCAGTGCATAAACTAAAGGGTAAAACTTTAGATTTTTTCAAAAAAACTTTTAATAGGATTTTTTTAAAATTGCATTTAACAACTACACTGTTACCAGAAATGTAACCTAAAATATATTCATTTTCATTTCAATCGTGTCTAATATCTAAAATACAGTAAAATTTTCCAAGAAATAGAGCTAAAATTGTAGCAGTGAAAATAAGTGTGTATATATCTAGATTTTTTTTTGAAATGGCTTACTCTTCCATATGATTTAATCAAGCAAATATCCTGAATAGTTAACCTCCATAATCTTATCCCATGTCTAAGATACTTGGTGAAAACAAATATCCTGATTGTTTCTTCCTTTTTTGAGGATGTTCTAAAATTTTATGAAATTATTTTGATCTTCAATAACAGCTAATGTCTTTCGTTGGTTGCAACTCAAACTTTATAGACAGAGAGTAAAATTCAGGAGATACTTAATCTTTCCAATTTTATTTTAACCATTTTTGGTTTTGGCTAATAGGTTAAAACTACCGTCCAAAAATGGCTAAAAGAAATTAAAGAAGACATAAATAAATGGAAAGATATTTCATATTTATAGATCACAGAAATGAAAGATGGAAATATTCTCCAAATTTTGCAAAAATGTACCAAACACAATATACTCATATGGAAATTCAAGGGATCCAGAACAAACAAAATGATCTTGCAAAAAAAAGGGCAGATTTAAGGACTTATATTTCATAATTTTCAAACTTACAGTAAAGCTGCAGTAATCAAGACAGTGTGGTATTGGCACAAGGACAGACATGAAAATCAATGAAACAGCATTGAAAGTTCAGAAATAAACCCTCGTATCTACTTTCAATTGATCTTTGATAAAGGTACCAAAAATCTTCAGTAGCAAAAAGTATAATGTTTTAATAAACTGGGCTGGGACAACTGAATATCCACATGCAAAAAATAATGAAGTTCAACCCCTACATCATACCACATACAAAAGTTACCCAAATGAATAAAATTTCTAAATGTAAAAGATAAAATTTTGAAACTCTTAGAAGAAAATATATGCATAAATCTTGGAAACATTAGATCAGTCAACGTTTCTTAGATTTGACATGAAAACCACGAACAAAAAAAAAAAGAAAGAAAAAAATAGAGATCACCAAAAACTTTTTCCTCTTCACCAGTTATATAATTTATTTCTGCCAGTAACCATTACAGAGGTAATAATTGGGAATATTTTATCATATTTATTTTTCATTATAAAATCATATTTGCATACCAGAATTATAAATAGAGGAAAGAAGGAAAAATAAAGCATTAAACCATTATATCTATGTTGCCTGTTAATTTTTTTGTTGTATTTATTTATTAGGTTTAGTGGGTACATGTGCAAGTTTGTTACATGAGTAAATTGTGTGTTACTGGGGTTTGGTTTACAAATGATTTTATCACCCAGGTAGTGAGCATATTACACAATGACTAGTTTTTTGTCCCTCATCCTCTTTCCACCCTCCCCAATCAATAAGGCCTTGGTGTTTATTGTTCTCATCTTTGTGTTTATTTGTACCCAATGTTTAGCTTCCCACTTACAAGTGAAAACATGTGGTATATGGTTTTCTGTTCCTGAATTTATTCACCCAGGAAAATGGACTCCAAATGCATCCATGCTGCTGCAAAGGGCATGATTTCATTTCTTTTTATGGCTGCCGAGTATTCCATGGTGTATATGTGCCTCACTTTCTTTATCCAGTCCATTGTTGATAGGCATCTAGGCTGATTTTACCTCTTCACAATTGTGAATAGTGCTGCAATGAACATATGCATACATGCATCTTTTTTGTAGCACAATGTGTACTCCTTTAGTTACATACTGAGTAATGGAATTGCTGGGTTGATATTAATTACATTTTAAGTTATTTCAGAAATCTCCACACTGCTTTGTACAGTAGCTGAATTAATTTATATTCCCATCAACAGCGTGTAAGTATTCCCTTTTCTCCACAACCTTACCAACATCTGTTATTTTAAACTTTTTAACAACAGCCATTTGAACTGGTGTGAGAAAGCATCTAATTGTGGTTTTGATTAGCATTTGTCTCATGACTAGTGATGTTGAGCATTTTTTCATATGCTTGTTTGTCTCTTTTATGTCTTCTTTGGAGAAGTGTGTGCTCATGTCTCTGCCTGTGTCTGAATGGGGGTATTTTTTGTTTTCTGCTTTTCAATTTAAGTTTCTCATGCATTCTGGGTATTAGTCTTTTATCAGATGCATAGTTTGCAAATGTTTTCTCTCATTCTGTAGGTTGTTTGCTTACTCTGTTGGTAGTTTCTTTTGCTGTGCAGAAGCTCTTTAGTATTATTAGGTCCTATTTGTCTATTTATCGTTTTTTGTTACAATTGTTTTTGAAGGCTTCATCATGAAATATTTTCCAAGACCTGTGAAATTTCCTATGTTGTCTAGAGTTTTTATAGTTTTAGGTCTTACATTTAAATATTTGATCCATTGTGACTTAATTTTGGTGTATGGTGAAAGGATGAGGTCTAGTTTCAATCTTCTGCTTATGGCTGGTCATTTATCCCAGCACCATTTATTAGATGGGGGTAATTTCCCCATTGCTACTTATTGTTATATTTGCCTAAGATCAGGTAGTTATAAGTGTGTAGCTATATTTCTTTATTCTGTATTTTATACCATTGGTCTACATGTCTGTTTTTGTACCTGTATAATTCTGTTTTGATTACTATAGTCTTATAGTATAGTTTGAAGTTGAGTAGTGTCATGCCTCTCTTTTTGTTCTTTTTGCTAAGGATTGTTTTGGCTATTTGGGCTCATTTTTTATTCCATGTTAATTTTAGAATTATTTTTTCTAATTCTATTGAAACTGATGTTGGCAGTTTGATAGAAATAATGTTGAAGCTTTATTAGATTTAGGCAGTATGAGCATTTTAACAATATTAATTCTTCCTATTCTTGAGCATGGAACATTTTCCATTTGTTTGTGTTGTCTCTTTCAGCTGCATTTTGTAATTCTAGACGTAGAGTTCTTTCGCCTCCCTGATTAGATGTATTCCTTGGTATTTTTTTGTTTTGTTTCATTTTATTTGTGGCTACTGTGAATAATACGGCGTTTTTGTCTTGGCTGTCAGATGGACCTTATTGCTGTATAGAAATGCTGCTATTTTTTGTACATTGATTTTGTATCTTGTAGCTTTACTGAAGTTATTTATCAGTTCTAGAAGCCTGTGAGCTGAGACTATAGAGTTTTCTAAATATAGAATTACATCCTCTTCAAAGAGAGATAGTTTAACTTCCTTGCCTCACATTTGATTGTTTTGAAATTTATTTCTCTTGCCTAAATGTTTTGCCTAGGACTTCCAGTACTATGTTGAGTAGGCGTGGTGAGAGTGGGCATCCTCATCTTGTTCCACTTGTCAAGGGGAATGCTTACAGCTTTTCGCTGTTTAGTATGGTACTAGCTGTGGGTTTGACATGGATAGTTCTTATTGTTTTGAGGTGTGTTCTTTTGATGCCTAGTTTATTGAAAGTTTTTAACAGGAAGATATATTGAATTTTATCAAAAGCCTTTTTTCTCTATTGATTGAGGTGATCACGTGGTTTTTGTTTTTAGTTCTGTTTATGTGATGAAACAAATTTGTTTATTTGTGTATTTGAATTGACCTTGCATCCCAGGAATAAATCCTACTTGACCATGTTGGATTAGGTTTTAATGTTTTGCTGGATTCAGCTTGCTAGTATTCTGTTGAGGATTTTTGTATCTATTTTCATCAGGGATATTGGCCTGAAGAGTTTTGTTGTTGTTGTGTCTTTGCCAGGTTTAGGTATCAGAATGATAGTGACCTCCTAGAATGAGTCAGGGAGGAGTCTCTCATCCTCCATTTTTTTGAAATAATTTTAGTAGGATTGGGACCAGTTCTTATTTGTACTTCAGATGGAATTTAGCAGTGACTTGTCTGCTCCAGGTCTTTTCTGATTGGTAGTTTTTTGTTTTCTTTTAGTTTTTTTTTTATTGATTCAATTATAGAACTAATTATCAGTCTGTTGAGGATTTCAATTTCTTCAAGTTCAATATTGGGATGCTGTATGTTTCCAGGAATTTATCCATTTCCTCTAGGTTTTCAAGTTTGTGTGCATAGAGGTGACACAAAGAAATGGAAAAACATTCTATGCTCATGGATAGGAAGGATTAATATTGCTAAAATGGCCATACTGCCCAAAGCAATAACAGATTTGATGCTATTCCTATCAAATTACCAACATCTGTTTTCACAGAATTGGAAACGCTCAAAATAGTCTCTGAGGGTTTTTAATATTTCTGTAAGGTCAGTGGTAATGTCACCTTTGCCATTTCTGATTGTGTTTATTTGGATCTTCTCTCTCTTTTTATTAATCTAGCTAGTGGTCTGTCAATCTTACTGTTTTCAATGACCAACTTTTGGTTTTGTTGATCTTTTGTATGGATTTTTGTTTAATTCCATTCAGTTAAGTTCAGTTCCTATTTTGGTTAATTCTTTTCTTCTGCTAGCTTCAATAATGGTTTGCTTTTGTTTCTCGTGTTCCTCTAGGTGTGATGGTAGGTTGTTAATTTGAGATCTTTCTAACTTCTTGATGTAGTGAGTTAGCACTATAAACTTTTCTCTTAACACTGCTTTAGCTATGTCCAAAATAGTCTCTGTAATGAATCTTTGTTTTCATTAGTTTCGAGTAATTTTTCACTTCTGTCTTAATTTTATTATGTACCCAGTAATTCAGGAGCAGCTTGTTTAATTTCCATGTAATTGTGTCGTTTTGAGAGCTCTTTTTGGTAGTTATTTCCATTTTTACTGCACTGTGTTCCAAGAGTATGGTTTGTATGAGCTATGTTTTTGTTGTTGTTGTTGAGAATTGCTTTCTATACCAGCATGTGCTTGATCTTAGAGTATGTGCTTTGAGATTAGGAGACTGTATATTCTGCTGTTTTGGGGTGGAGTATTCTGCAGATGTTTTTTAGGTTAATTTGGCCAAGAGTTAAGTTTAGGTCCCTAATATGTTTGTTAATTTTCTGCCTAAATGATCTGTTTAACACTGTCAGTGGTGTGTTGAAGTCTCCTGCTATTATTGTGAGGTTATCAAAGTCTCTTCACAGGTCTCAAAACTTGTTCTATGAATATGGGTGCTCCAATGTTGGGTGCACATATATTGAGGATAGTTAACTGCTCTTGTTGAATTGAACCTCTTATCGTTATGTAATGTTCTTCATTGTTCTTTTTTATCATTCTTGGTTTAAAGTCTGTTTTGTCTGAAATAAGAATAGCAACCTTGCTCTTTTTTGTTTTCCACTTACTTGATAGACATTTCACCATCCCTTTACTTTGAGCCTGTGGGTGTCATTGCACGTGATATGGGTCTCTTGAAGATAACATCAAGTTGGGTCTTGCTTCTTTATCCAACATGTCAGTTTCTGACTTTATGTGGGGCATTTAGCCCACTTATATTCAAGCTCAATATTGATATGTGAGAATTTGAACCTGTCATTGTGTTGTTATCTGGTTGTTATGTAGACTTTATAATATAGTCATTTTATAGTTTTAGTGGGTTATCTACGTATTTGTGTTTTTGTGGTGGCAGTTATCAGTCTTCCATTTCCATTTTTTGCAGTCCCTAAAGGATTTCTTTTAAAGCAGTTCTTGTGGTAACAAATTTCCTTAGCATTTGGTCATCTGAAAAGTACTTTATTTTTTCTTCATTTATGAGGCTTCAATTTAACTAGACATGAAATTATTGGTTGGAATTTCTTTTCTTTAAAGATGCTGTGTATAGGCCCCCAACCTACTCCGGCTTGTCGGGTTTCTGTTGAAAGGTCCACTATTAGCCTGATCGGGTTCCCTTTGCAGGTGGCCTGCCCTCTGTCTCTAGCTGCCTTTAAGATTTCTTTTTTGTTTCACATTGACCTTAGAGAATTTGATGACTATGTGTGTTGGGAATGATAATATTGCACAGTATTTCACAGGGGTTGTCTGAATTTCCTAAATTTGCATGTCAACCTCTCTAGCTAGGTAGGAGTAATTTTCATGGGCAATATTCTCAAATATGTTTTCCAAGTTGCTTGCTGTCTCTCCATCTCTTTCGGGAATGCCAATGAGTTATAGGTTTGGTCTCTTTCCACAATCCCATGTTTCTCAGTGATTTCACCCATGTTTTAGAATTATTTTTTTCTTTATTTTTGTTTGCCTGTGCTGATAGAAAGGAGTGGTCTTTGAGCTCTAAGAGTCATTTGTCACCTTGGTTTGTTCTGCTATTAATGCTTTCAATAGCATTATGAGATTCCTGTAGTAAATTTTTCATTTCCAGAAGTTCAGTTTGATTCTTTCTTAAGATGGATATGTCATCTTTAAAGTCTTGGATCATTTTATTGATTTCTTTGGATTGGGTTTCAACCTTTTCAGCCATTTCAATCTGGGAGCCATTGCTGTGGAGCTAGTATAGTCGCTTGTAGGTAAGAAGACACTCTGGCTTTTAGGGTTGACAGAATTCTTGCTCTGGTTCTTTTTCATCTGTGTGGGCTGATGTTCCTTTAATCTTTGAAGTTGCTGTCTTTTGGATTGGGCTTTTTGCTTTTATGTTCTTCAATGCCCTCGAGGATTTGACTGTGGTTTAAGTTGGGTTTAATCAGTTGGTTTCATTTCTGAATGCTTTTAGGGGGTTAACACTCAGAGCAGCACTCTTGGGCTGTGTGCTCTGGCCCTAAGGGACTAAAACCAGTTTTGTGGTTTTGTTCTCTGGCCCATGAGGACAAGCATCTACTGTGCTGGAGGAGCCAAGTTGTTACTGGTCTACAGGAAACATTCCAATGGGGAATGCCAGAAAAAGCACTGCAGCATGGTGACGGGGAGCTGAGAGAGAGTATGCTGCACTGGGGAGTCTATAGGTGAGTGCACACCAGTGGGGCAGCAGGGAGGCCATGAATAGTGCACACCAGTTGGCCAGTGGGGGTTGCCATAGGTGAGTGCACACCAATGGGGCAGTGATGGAGCAGCAGAAGAGTACACACCAATGGGGAAGGGGAGCCATGGGTGCATGTGCACCACTGGGGAAATGAGGGTTTCTGCATATGTGCACACTAGATGTAGTATTAAAATTGTCATTGGGCAAAGAAAATGAATAATCACTTTTCAAAAGAAGATACACAACTGACCAACAAACATGAAAAAAATGCTTATCATCACTAATCATCAGAGAAATGCAAATCTAAGCCACAATAATATAGTACCTCACAAAAGTCAGAATGGCTAATATTAAAGTCTGAAACAATAGATGCTGGTAAGGCTGCAGAGAAAGAAAATAGTTGCATAGTTGGTTGGAATGTAAATTAGGTCAGCCACTGTGGAAAGCAGTGATTTTCTTAAAGAATTTAAAACAGAACTTCCATTCCACCCTACAATCCCATTACTGGGTATATATCCCACTAAAATTAAAAGTTGAAATTATTAAATAAACAAGTAAAATTGTATAATTTTCTTGTTATATAGCTGTAATAAGTTAGTATCTTGTTTACTTCTCTTTTTTTTTTTTTTTTTTTTGACTTTTAAGTTGAGAGGATACAGGTTTAGTTTGGTTGCATGGGTAAATTGCACGTTGCTGAGGTTTGACATATGATCCTATCACCCAGTGAGCATAATACCGATAGGTGGTTTTTCGATGCATACACGTCCCCTGCCTTCTACCCTCTAGTAGTCCCTGGTATCTATTTTTCCCATTGTTAAGTCCATGTTTAGCCAATGTTTAGTTTTTCCTTATAAATAACATTTGATATTTGATTTTCTATTTCTGCGTTAATTTGCTTAGGATAAATATCTAGCCGTATCCATGTTGCTGAAAAGAACATGATGTTGTTCTTTTTTATGGGTGTGTAGCATTCTGTGTCATATATATACCACATTACCTTTTTCCAGTCTACTTTTGATGGGCATCTAGATTTATTTCACATCTTTGCTATTGTGAATAATGCTGTGATGAACATATGAATGCATATGTATTTTTGTTTTAAGTTCTTTGAGAAATTTCCATACTGCTTTCTACAGTGGATGAACTAATTTAAATTCCCACATGACTTTCTCACAATATGTTGATTCATTCATCTTTTGGTGAGCTTTTTGGATTATTTCCAGTTTTTAAGCTACTTTATATAAATCTTTCATAAAACACTGTGCACATGTCTTTGTGCGAATGTATGTTTTTATTTGCCTTGGAGAAATACCTAGAAATATTATTTTAGGCACTCAACTACTGATATAGATTTCACTGAATCAAGTTCTTATGCAGACACATTCTAATTGGCACAATTAGGACTTGAATGCTACTGGATACATAAAGTAAAATATGCTACCTTAGAGCTAGATAATTTCTCATTGTCAGCAAGGATGAGGCTTGTAGACTTCAAATATTTGTTATAATAAAGGAGACAAGGGAGCCAAATCTAGTTAAATCTTGGTAGAAAGATAAATTTTTTTACCCAGACAAGTGCTATCATTTTTTTAAAAAAATGTGATTATATTTTTATTTTAAGGAAACTTTTAATTGTTCCTGTTGGTATATAAGATACATTTCTCAATTAATGTTCTGATAGTGATAATTAAAAGAGTAAAGTTTTTAATACAGATTTAGAATATATGAAACCTATGGATAAATCTGTGACACAAGCACAAGTCGTAGTATGTTTTAGTTACATTTTTCAGCCCATTATCAATTTAATTTTAATGCAGAATGCAAATAAACAGTCTTGTTTCTGTATATACTGCACTTGCTATTGTTGATTCTGTGACATGTGGTTTTATGTGTTATTAATATCATGGAATTCAACAACACCAATTGTTTTATTTATGTAAATTTGCCTTTATTTAGGTTTCACATGTTTTTAAAATGTCCCCAACCTTTTGTACTTAGACTTTTAAAATGAGTGAGCTAATAATTTGACCACTTTGACAGTTACTTTAGTTTAGTTTATCTGTATGGCCAGATACCAACAAAATAGTGGTCATTATCCTACAGAAGGCAATATGGGGTTTAATATAACCTGTAAATAATTTTCATTTTTAAAAAAATGCCTATATCTAAAATATACCAAGAACTTTTTAAAACTCAACAAAAATAATACAACAACTTAATTGAAAAATAGGCCCAAGACCTTAACAACACCTAACCAAAGAAGATATAGAGAGGGCAAATACCATATTAAAAGATAATCCACATCATATATAATGAGGAAAATACAAATTAAAACAACAATAAGTTACCACCACACACTTATTTAGGATGGCCAACATCCAGAACAATGACAACACTAAATGCTGATGAGCATTTGGAGTAGCAGAAATTCTCATTCATTGGTGGTGGGAATGTAAAACAGTACAGCTACATTGGAATGCAGTTGGGCGTGTTTCTTACAAAACTAAACATACTCTTATCATATGATCCAGGAATTGCAGTACTTGGTATTGATGCAAGGAATTGAAAACATGTCTACACAAAAATCTGCACACAAATGATTATAGCAGCTTTATTCATACTCAGAAAAACTTGGAAGAACTAAGATATCCTTCAGTATGTAAATGGATAAGCTGTTTTATGATATCTAGACGGTGGAATGTTATTCAGTGCTAAAAATTAATGAGCTATCAAACCACGAAAAGACATGAAGAAAACTTAAATTAATGTTAAGTGAAAAAGCCACATACTGTTTAATTCCAACTATATGACATTCTTAAAAAGGCAAAACTGTGGAGACAAAAAAAAGATCAGTGGTTGTCAGGGGTTAGGGTAAAAGAGGTATACATAAATAGAGCAGAAAGTATGTTTTGGGCAGTGAAATTACTCTATATGATATTATACTGGTAGATTCATGTCATTATACATTTGTCCAAACACACAGAATCTACAACACCAAAAATGAACTCATGTAAACTATGGACTTTGGGTGATAGTGATGTGTCAATGTAGGATCATCAGTTGTAACAAATGTACCACTATGGTAGGACATGTTTATAAGAGGAGAAGCCATGCATATGTGGGGGGAAGAGGGAATAAGGGGAATCTCTGTACATCCCTCTCAATTTGTTCATGAACCTGAAACTTCTCTTAAAAAATAAAGTTTATTTTTTTAAAAAAGCTTCAAAGGAAAATATTTATTACTTAAATAGTTATTTTATAAGTTATGCTGGAATAAGATAATGGGTTTGCTTTTTCATTGTGAGAAGGATTTTTCAATATATGTTAATATTATGAAAGGGATTTTGTTCAGAGTGCTATACAAAATAGTTCTGGCAGGGCAAGGCACATATTAGACATTCATTTATTTCATCTATTCCAACTCCTGAAAAGAATGTAACAGAACAGTTACAAAATGTAGTTTCAGCCAATTCCTTCAGTTTATGCAATAAAAATCATACAGATTAAGAGCACACCTGAAATAGTTGTTATATGTACTCTATCTCGTCATTGTTCCAGTGACCTGATGAGTTCTGTCTTAGAGCATATCAATTCAGTGTCTACATATTAAGAGTTTATGAGGAGATGCCAATTTTGTTAAAGCAGCTTTATAAGACATGATGTAAGATTTGTCACCATTAAAAAAGTGATAACCAAAGAAATAAATGAGTATAAAATTCTTGAACTCAACATTCATTCTCCTGACCTGATTGCCAAGATATATATATATAACTTGCCAGTTAGCTATTTTTCCTAATTCCCATCATATCTATTTATTCCATTTGTTTACTTACATATTCATCATTAATTAATTTATAAAAATTAATTATTAAAAAGAAGAAAAACCTGGCTGGTACAACATATAGGCCAAGAAAGAGAAGAAAATGTGAAAAAACTTGAAAATGTAAATTAATAAAAAGATGAGTTCAATACAGCTATGACAAAGAGAAGCTGAAAATATAACAAGAAAACATAAAGACGTATACTACTAAGTTAAGAAAATAAAATGAAGACAAATAAAGCATTATTAGAGATACTAAAAAATTAATTGAAAATCAGAAAAGGAACATTGAACTTACTGAAGTAGAAGAAAAGGTTGAGAAGATTATAGTGTGTGAAAAAAAAAAGAAAAAGTTTAAAGCATTTAGGAAGACAATAATAGATATGTAATGAATAAAGACCTTCCAAAACATGGAAAACATTTATTCCTGTGAAAGAAACCAGCAAATTGGACAGTGCATTAAAATATAATTTTTAAAACCTTGGAAATAGTTTCAAAGGGCCCGTATATTCCAGATAAAATTATTCCAGAATAATGTATACTAAGCCACTTGCTTATGATTGAATTTTAATAAAAGTTCATTTCTAGCCATCCAGAAATAAGGAAACAAACCGTTTAGAGTCAGTAAAAGACAGAAACAAGTCACTTCTCCTCATGGACATTAAACATTAAAATCAACATTAAAAATCACAACAAAGTATAGCGAGGTAGGCAAAATTATCAATGAAGTGAAGTGTGAACTAAGCATATTAAACACCCCAAATTTTTGTTCCTTTTTAAAGGCAGTGGACAAACATTAGAAAACATCTAAGAATTTGAGGCAGCAGCACCTGTGAGTTCATTTTGAAAAATATCAATTGCAAAATCACATATACACACAAACACATACATACACATAAATAAAATGCAAAACAAATCAGCTTCATTATTTTTCTATTGAAACTGACACAATTTCTAGCACAATTTTAGACTCCATTTAAGCTCTACTCTCTTTCTCCTCAATCTATCCCTAACCTCTTTTCTGTTTTTTTTCTGTGAGAGGGTCTCATTCTGTTGCTTAATCAGAGCTCTCTGCTTCCTCAAATTCCTGGGCTCAAGTTATTCTCCTGCCTCAATCTCTCAAGTAGCTGCAACTACAGGCATACTCCACTATGCCCGACTACGTTTTTTGGTGTTTGTTTGTTTGTTTGTTTCTGTTTAGTAGAGATGTGGTCTTGCTATGTGGCCCAGGCTGGTCTCTAACTCTGGGCTCAAGCGATCTTCCAGGCTCAGGAGGCCGAATTAGAGACCAGCCTGGACAACATAGCAAGACCTCCCTGGAAAACATAGCGAGACCTCATGTCTTCTAAACTCCTGCTGGGATTACAGGAGCGAGGTGGGATTACAACTCCTCCTGGCATTACAGGAGTGAGCCACCATGCCTGGCCTCTCTCACTGCTTGAATCCAGTGAGGACCCATCTGAATTTCCACAGATCTCTCTTGCTACAGAGTTAAGGGAAAGCAAGTCATTATTACTGATATTTATCACAAGAAGTAAAAACAAGCGTATATTCAGGAAAGAGTAAGATGAAGATGCAGATACCTCAGTTACAATGTCTGTAGCTGCAGAAAAATCAAACTGAGGGAATGGAGAAAAATGAAGCCAGGATGCAGCAATTTCTAAACACACGTAAAAAGTCATAGTCATGGATGCGACCTCAGAAACTGGAACTGAACCAGTAGAGCTTGTTGCTATTGTTGGTTTTTTCCATCACATGACAAAGTTTTGGCTGAAGAATTATTTCGTTTTAACTCACCTGGATATTTTATGGGTTCATCTGATTGAAGAACTTTGACTGTTTTATTTGCATTTCTAGAGATAAAATAAAGATTACATTATTTTCTCCGAAGTGTTTTTTTCTTAGTTGAGGAAGTGTTATATCTGTAAAAGTAGGTGACTGACTTATCCCACAAAGCAATTTTGATATATATCGCACTATAGGGTGTCAGAGAAAAGTGTGGCCAGTTGGGTAGTTTTGCTCTCAGGAAAGTTGGCTAGAGAAAGCAAATTATAAATGAAGAGTACAATACAGATTGTGTTTATTGCATTAATAAACAAAGAATATGTCAAGGTCAGGTGATCATAGCTGAGTTAGGGACCAGACAGGAAGAAGTCATGTGAGGACATTTTCTAGAGACATAGAATGAAAGATGATATGTGGTGGTGATAGGGAAGGAAGGAATCAAAAACAGAAAGTAATACTAAAAGGCAGAAAATAGGCTGTAAAAGGACAAAAAGTCAGGAATTGACAAGTTAAAAATATTAAGTCATATAATAGCACCTTGGAATAAAATAAATGTCAGATGGTACATTTACAAAACTAGAATGAATTGTATGACTAAAATTCTAAGTGTGATAGAAAAGGAAAAATGATTTTGTAGAAATAAAGTTCCTTATATAATGTTTCTTTTTTTTTTTTTTTTTGAGATGGAGTCTCACTTTGTCACCCATGTTGGAGTGCAGTGGAGTGATCTTGGCTCACTGCAACCTCTGCCTCCCGGGTTCAAGCGATTCTCCTGCCTCAGCCTCCTGAGTATCTGAGATTACAGGCGTGCACCACCATGCCCGGCTAATTTTTGTATTTTTAGTAGAGATGAGGTTTCACCATTTTGGTCAGGCTGGCCTCGAACTCCTGACCTCATGATACGCCCACCTCGGCCTCCCAAAGTGCTGGGATTACAGGCGTGAACTACTGCACTTGACGTAATGTTGCTTCTTAAGTAAAAAGGGACACCTGTATTAGAGCTAGCAGAATGGTTTTATAAAAAAATTATCTCTTTCAGGGAATTTATAACTTTGTTGTTAGCATAACTTGTGATGCTTAAGTAGTTTTGATTTTTTTTTTAAAGATTACATTTTAGAGTCAAAGTGACAGTGATCTAAGGAGTCTTTTACTCGTTGGAGTTTATAAGTGAAACATTAAAACTTTTTTTTCCTGGCTTAAAATTCATTTAGAAGTTAATTTCACAAACTGTGGATAATTTAGTATTCAAAAATTGTACAATGCATTAAATAAAAGTATGCTGGTTGCTATTAATTTAATTAAACCCACTTAATGATAAATATCTGCTATGCTGCAAAAGGATGTCTTAACTCTACTGGTGGTGACAGCAGGTTGTCTCAACTGGAAAATTATGTAATTAAAAGTAAAGGACCTTGGTAATTACTCATTAACATTCTTCATTGAACTTACAATTCACAGATTATGACTCTACAACAATCACTTATTTTTTAAGAATACATTATTTCTAGGCTTCAATATTATGAAAAGTTATCTTAAAATTTTTTTACATACAGCGTGATTTTAATAATGTAAACAGAAATATGCTCAGAAAATGACTAGAAAGAAATGTATCAAAATGTGATTTCCTTCAATGGTAGATTCATGGATTTCTATTGTCTTCTTTTCTTTTTTTGTTTTATTATATTTTAAATTCTAGGGTACATGTGCACAACGTGCAGGTTTGTTACATATGTATACATGTGCCATGTTGGTTTCCTGCACTCATCAACTCATCATTTACATTAGGTATTTCTGTTTGTAGCTTGTTGAATTGCTTGTATAAACATATTGAAGGTCATTTTCTTTTTTAATTCTTTGGCATGCTTTATTCTTACTATTTTATAACTACAGAAAAATTTAAATGACATAGATATCGTAACAAGTAAATATAACTTTCTTTCCATATGTGCTAATTTTTATTCAGAATTTTGACTATACTCTAAAAGCAGTAGTAAACTATGTAAAAAATTTTAATTCAGTTCTAGCATCTTAGAAACATTTTTTATATGTGCCTGCATTTTTTATTTATTTTTATTTTAATCCCATTTTATAAATGTATAATTGACAAATGAAAATTGTATATATTTATGGTGTACAACGTTTTAAAATATGTTTACATCATGAAATGATTAAATGAAGCTGATTAACATATTTATCAACTCACATACTTATTTTTTGTAGTGAGATCATGTAAAATACACTCTTTTAGCAATTTTATATGCACATCATTAATTAAAACACCATGCTGTACAGTAGATCTCCAGAACGTACTCCTCCCGTGTATCTGAAACTCTGTACTCTTTGACCAACATCTCACCACTTCCCCCACTCCTTACAGCTCCAGCAACTACCATCCTTCTCTCTGCTTTTATAAATTCAATTCAGAAATAAGCAAGATCATGCAGTATTTGACTTTGCCTAGCCTAAAGTTCTCCAGGTTCATTATGTTGTGTCAAATGACAGGATTTCCTTTTTTTTTTAAGCTGAATAGTATTCCATTGTTCATGTACCACATTTTTAAAATCCATTCATCCATCAATAGACACAAGTTAGTTTTGTATCTTGCCTATTATGAATAACATTGCAATGAAAATGGGAGAACAGATATCTTCTCGACATATTGATTTTATTTCCTTTGTGTCTATACTTAGAGGTAGAATTGATAGATTATAAATCCATTTAATAAAAAAGGAATTAAATTTTATGCTTTAGATTGAGGATTCACGCTAATAAATATTTTTCATGTTTAATTTCTTACTATCTATTTTATTTTTATGAATTAACAGATGCACATAGTAAAAAAAAATTAAATAGCCAAAAAATGTTATGATAAAAAGATATCCATCTCTAAATGTGCTCCCCAAGCCCATAATCACAAGTTACCAGTTTCTGTTCTGCTTGTTTGATTACAGGATGTAGCAATTGAAAATACTCATCTCTACCTTTTCTTTAGTACATCATGAAAATTGTTCCCCATCAGTACTTGCAGATCTGCCTCATTGTTCAAATTTTAAATAGTATTGTATTGTTGGAAAATACCATAATTTATATAACTAATTTCTAGAAAATGAATTTTAAGTTTTTTGAACTAAATTGGTACAGGTGATTTGGGTTAAGATATCTATGTCAAAAAATTTAGTTTGGGGTTACTTGGGTAAGTTCTTTAACATTTCACTGTAAGTTTCATGGAATACACAGGATCAAACTGAAGAAAATTTGCAAGCATTTTTTGTAAAATATGCATTTCAAACTATTTTTGTTTTCTCTAAAGTAAGAAATCTAATTATTTGGTTGACAATTACACATTCTGCCTCACCAACCTGAGCAGTTAAATTGAAATAACACAATTATTGAAATAACACAAATAATCAGAGAGATTATTTCTAGCCCACTGATGACTCTAGATGCATCTTACAGGAATTTAGGAAAATGCTAAAATTAGCAAAATAAACACACATTCCAATGTTAGTCTTGACTGATGTTTCTCTTCTAATCCAACATTTAAAAAATGATCAAAAGATTGCTTTATTCAGTTCTTGTAAGGCAATTATATAACCAGTTCGATTCTAGGTGCATGGAAAGAAGTTAATTCATTACATACAATAGATGCATTGGTCAGAAAGGTGTAATTTTCACCAATAACCTTGAAAAAGAAATGACACTCTGTGAGATTGACTATAATATACATTATGAATATATTGAAGGGAGATACCAAATGTTGAGCTTTTCTTTGAGTGGTATCTTTTGAGGATAATCAATTTTCATAAAAATAATATGGACAGAATGGACAGAATCTGAAAAAAAGAGAGCTAAAAGAAGCCACCAAAATTTACCTAATATCCATATCCCACTGGATTGATTTTTAATCTAAATTTTACTAATGAGAGAATTGAGAGTCAGAGATATTTCCCCAGCATCACACTTTTTTTTTTTTTTAAGCAAACAAAATCTGACTATTTGCCCAGGCTGGTTTCAAATTCCTGGACTCAAGCAATCCTCCTGCCTTAGTATCTCAAAGTGCTAGGATTACAGGCATGAGTTACTGTGCCTAACCTCCATCATGACAATAAGTGTCAAAGATTCAAATTAAAATCTGTCTCTGATATACCCAAAAGCTTTGAGGTCTCTTATAAAGATGAAACAGAAATCAAAAGGTAGAATAGGTAGCTAAAATGAGAGGAGCAAAGATTTCCATAGCCCATGTTCAACAAGTCAGTTTTCTTCTACTAGCTTAAAATTTTGAATTATATTTTATCACAAAGAAAGAATAAATTATTAAAAGCATCTCCATTGGAATGTAAATATTATCAACCTCAACAAATCATAATAGCATAATTTGATAGAATTAATCAAAGAATAACTACTGCTCTTTGATGAAAATCATGTTGCTTATCAAACTTCATTAGTGTGTGTACTCTGAAACACACTGCTGCTTATGGATGTAATATCTTTTCTTATTCTTTCTTTCAAGTCCTCTCAGCTCCATAAGCTTCCGATTATCATTTTATCGAACAAAATCTATGTAAGCTCATCAAAGTGTGCTCCCTCATACTTATAAAGCGGGATTTTGTTTCACCAATATTGTTTTTCCCCATAATATCAATTTAAACTAAAGTAAAATCTAAAAATGTAACATGTGCCCAAGTTCTTGGTATCATGATTTTAATTTTACCAGGAAAAGTAATTGTCTTCTACTCTGCTTTATCTAAGCCTGGTCTAAAGTTTTGTTACTATTAGACCCCTCTATTCACCTAGATTATTTAGGTCAATCGAATACAAATTGATGCTTCTTTTTTTAAATTTTTATTTTTATTTCAATTGTTTTTGTGGTACAGGTGCTTTGGGGTTACATAGGTAAGTTCTTTAGTGGTGATTTCTGAGATTTTGTGCACCTGTCATCTGAGCAGTGTACACTGTACCCAGTATGTAGTCGTTTATCCCTCACCCCCAAAGTCCATTATGTAATTCTTATGCCTTTGTATATTCATCGCTAAGTTCTCACTTTTAAGGGAGAATATGCAATATTTGGTTTTCCATTACTGAGTTATTTCACTTAGAATAATGACCTCCAGCTCCATCCAAGATGCTGTAAAAGACATTATTTCATTCCTTTCTATGGCTGAGTAGTATTCGATAGTGTATGTATACCACATTTTCTTTAACCACTTGTTGGTTGATGAGCACTTAGGTTGGTTCCATATCTTTTCAATTGTGAATTGTTCTGCTACAAATATACATGTGCGTGTGTCTTTTTCATACAATCCCATTTCCTTTCAGTAGTTACCAAGTACTGGGATTGTTGCCTTTTTCTTAAAAGAAACTGTCAAAGGGATCAGATCACATTGAGCCAGCCTGCCTTTCAGCTAATAAATCTGTTTTTATCTCTTGCTTTTAAACATTGTAATATTTTTTGCATAGGCTAAATATTTTTGCATGGTATTTCAGTTTTGCCTCATTAAAATAGGTGCATAAGAAAAGAAAAATCCAGAGATTTGTGATATATGTCTACATATAGAACTTATAGAAAGGAATGTGCATTCACAAATTGCCTGTATTATTAAACATAGGCATATTTTGTTCTTCACTACCCCAAATATTGCAGAGTTTCAAACTATTCATTAATATTTTGAAATTGAATTTAAATAATTTCTCTTTTTTTAATTTTACTTTAAGTTTTAGGGTACATGTGCACAACGTACAGGTTAGTTACATATGTATACATGTGCCATGTTGGTGTGCTGCACCCATTAACTTGTCATTTAACATTAGGTATATCTCCTAATGCTATCCCTCCCCCCTCCCCCCACCCCACAACAGGCCCTGGTGTGTGATGTTCCCCTTCTTGTGTCCATGTGTTCCCATTGTTCAATTCCCACCTATGAGTGAGAACATTCGGTGTTTGGTTTTTTGTCCTTGCGATAGTTTGCTGAGAATGACGGTTTCCATAAAAAATGATGAGTTCATGTCCTTTGTAGGGACATGGATGAAGCTGGAAATAATTTCTCTTTTAAATCTCTAACAGAAGAGAGCACATTGGATATTAACATATGATTTTAATAAAAATGAATTCCAAGTTTCCATGACAATATCTTCAATATAAAGACAAGGAGAAACATGCACACTTCATCATAATAAATTAAATCATGTATATAGTGTTTCAAAAAATTGCTATTGTATGCTAGAAATCTCAATATCTTCTATATGGCAATAGCATAATCTTAAAGATAGCATGCCATAGAATAAGCTATGTTAAATTAGCAATCCATATAATTTTTAAATGAATCAGAATAACATTTAAATTGGAATACATTTATAGCCACTCTTTCAAATTTCAAACTATTCAAAAAAATAGACACAAAACCAATTAACTCCTATTTAAAGAAGACATGTCCGAAAAATCACCAAAAGCAAGATGTTATTTGTTAGGAATAAAAATATAAATGTAAGACCCCAAACTATAACTGCCAGAAGGAATAGTGGGAACATTTCAGGACATTCATCTAGGCAAAGATTTTATGGTTAAGACGTCAAAAGCACAGGCCACAAAAACAACAATAGACAAATGCAAATGCAGCTAGATTAAACTACAAAGCTTCTGTACAGCAAAGAAAATATTCAACAGAAAGAAGGACAACCTGCAGAATGGAATAAAACATTTGCAAACTATTCATCCAGTGATGAAATAATATCTAAAATATACAAAGGACTCAATACTAAAAACAGAAACAACAAAACAAAATGAATAATCCCAATAAAATGGGCAAAGAATTTAAGTAGACATTTATCAATAGAAGAAATACAAATGGCCAGTAGGTTTATTAAAAAAATCAACATCAGTAACCATCAGCAAAATGTAAATCAAAACGCAATGAGTTATCATTTTACCCTAGTGAGAATGGCTATTGTGAAAAAGATGAAAAGTAACAAATAATAGTGAGGATGCAGAGGAAAGGGAACTCTTATACACTGTTGGAGAGAATATTGTGGAAAACAGTATGGAGTTTTCTCAAAGTATTGAAATTAAAGCTACCATACAATCCGGTAATCCAACTACTGGCTATTTATCCAAAAGAAAGGAAATTAGTATTACCCATGTCCCCATATTTCTTGCAGCACTCCTCACAATAGCCAAGATATAGAATCAACCTAAGTTTCTATCAGTGGGTGAATGGATAAAGAAAATGTGGTATAAATACACACATAATAGAAGACCATTCAATTGTAAAATAGAATGAAATTCTGTTATTTACAGCAACATGGATGAAACTGGAAGTCATTATGTTTCACATGTTCTCATTCATAGGTGAGAACTTAAAAAGGTGATCTCAAGGAGGTAGAAAGTACAATAATCTTCACCGGAGATTGAGTGAGGGGAGAGTAGAGGGATTGGTTAATGGGTACAAATACACAGTTAAATAGAAAAAATAAGTTTTGTGTTCAATAATTCATTGCATATTTCAAAATAGGTAGGAGAGAAGGTCTGAAATTTTTCCAAAACACACAAAAAATAAATGTTTGAGACTATGAATATTCTAAATACCCTGATTTGATCCTTATACTTTGTATGCATGTATCAACATATCACATGTATCCCAGAAATGTATACAATTATTATATATCAATGTATTTTTTAAAGATATAGCCAAATAAGTGGGGAGGAAAATGCATTACCTGATACAATTGTATTAAGAAATGAGAAATAATTGTTATAAAGGATTTAAGTATCCAAATTTAAAATATAGGAAGAAACAATGAAAAAAATTTCAATAAAACTTTCTAAAGATTAAAAAAAAAACAAAATAAGCCAGATTAACTTTATAGATATAATTCGCAATTTTTATTTTTTCTCAGAAACAGTGAAAAGGACATTAGAATTATCCCTTACTTAAATGCATTGTACTATTATCATATGAAACTGTTTATTCAAGTGCTTTCTTTCTAAAGGAAATGAAGTATTGTATTTTGACAGCTTAATCTATTTCTCTGATGGTAATTTTCTGCTTAGATTTCCATGCTAATAAAATCAGTTCTTGGCATGTACGTTTATCTTTTAAAAAAATCCCATATTAAATACATGTTTTCAGAACTATATGCAAAGTATTCCTGATTCTTTGAAATAGCTCTCTGACTAGTTATTTCTCCATTATTATTTCCTGTTTATGAATTTGTTTTTTCTCCCGTTTTTCTTGATATAATATAGTAGGTGGATTTATTTTACGTTTCTTTTGAATATCTTGTTTTTATATTTAACAGACCTACCTTTTTCTGTTTTAAAATTTATTGATTTAAATCATTATAAAATAATAATCTATGTCTTAGTTTATTCAATAATAAATTGTTAAAATTCACTGAGTGCCTACCGTTAAGCAATCACTGTTATGTTACCCTGCTAGGTAGGCACTCTTATTTTGTTATTCTCATAGTACATGAAGCTTAAGAAATTTAAGACTGCTTAAGAAATCAAGAAGCCTAAGAAATTTAAGAAAAATGTACTATGCTCACATGATAAGAATATAGCATAGGTAGGAATTTAGTACCTGACTAAAATCAGGAATCTAAGATTCCAAACCACTTATGGTCCATGCTCTTTGAGAAACTTTTTCAAGACTACTGAGCCAATTAGCCTAAAATTAGCTAAATAGAATTATTGAGAAAAATAAAAAGTCAACAATTAATCCTTTGTTGTTTGATTTTAGTTCGCTGAATTAATAAGCATGATTATATAATAAATTATTCAATAATTCTGACAAAGACAGCCAGCAAACAAATTTAGTTGATTATTCAGAACCTTACTCCCTCAAGGATTATTTTTAAATATATTATCTTACAAACTTTTCAATCATATTTTCCAGAAATAAGAATTAGTATTTTTTGTACATAAATATAGACTCTGAAGACCACAAATGTTATGACTTTCTTAAGTCTGAACTTAAAGCTTCCAAATCAGAATTTAGTAGTTATTCTGCTTGTGTATAATATTTCTCCATGGCTGGTCAGAAAATTTTAAAGTTAAAGATTATATAGAAACTGTCCATATTGTGTTACTGTTTCAAACAAAGTTTTGAGAGAGAAGAACAGAGAAAGAGTGACATAAGAAAAGAGAAAAAGCATCTTTTTATTTTATTTTATTTTATTTTATTTTATTTTATTTCATTTCATTTTATTTTATTTATTTATTTATTTTTTTGAGACGGAGTCTCACTCTGTCGCCAGGCTGGAGTGCAGTGGCGCAATCTCGGATCACTGTAATCTCCGCCTCCCGGGTTCAAGTGATTCTCCTGCCTCAGCCTCTGGAGTAGCTGGGATTACAGGCGCGCGCCACCACACCCAGCTAATTTTTGTATTTTTAGCAGAGACCGGGTTTCATCATTTTGGACAGGGTGATCTCCATCTCCTGACCTCGTTACCCGCCCACCTTGGCCTCCCAAAGTACTAGGAATACAGGTGTGAGCCACCGCGCCCCTCCGAGACCATCTTATTTTAAAAAATGAGTAATTTTTTTCCTGTACTTAAAACTTCACCATCATTTGTTTATTTATTATAATTGACTTATTTGGTAAGTATATAAAATATTAACCTAGATCTAAAAATCAGCACTGTTTAAAAAGTAAGTATTCTGAAAGAAATGTAACCCCCAATTTATTTACCATGTTTCCATGCCTCTGTGCTTGTGTCTCATACCCATCCACCCCCACAGATAACCATTCTTATTTGTTTCGAGTAATGTCATCTTGCTTCTTCTTTCTATTATGTTAGTTCACAATCTTTCTTAATTTGCTTTTTGTCACAGCAAATTATCAAGATGTACTCTGAAAATTAGATATCAGTTCATAGAAGTATTTATCATTATTTTTACATAGTTGACTATTGAATAATACATTATAGTCTATTCACCCTCCCCACATATGAACATATGTTGTTTCTCATTTTTGCGATTACAAACAGTGCTGCAGAAAATACACTTGACCGTGTGCGTTTTTATCTTATTGAAATTTGTTCTCAGGATAAATTCCTAGAAGTGGAAATTGCTGGATCAATTGGGAGTTTTGTTAGATATGCAAATTCCCTTCCATGTTAGTTCTGTGAGTGCGCCTCTTCACCACAAGTATATGAGTGTCAGTATCATCACAGATGTACTGAGACAATATATTATTATTTTAGGTTTCATGTATTAAACATTTCACATATCTGATACGTAGGCAATAAATGGTGTTTTGTCTATTTTTAGACTTTTATGGTTTCCATTTCACTGCTGAGATTCCTCAGGTGTTCATGTATGTTGCCCACCTTCGCTTTTAAAAATGTTAAACATATTAATCTTAGTTTTTTACAGCCACTATTTGATAGTTCAACGATCTGGGTCATCTCTGAGTTGTTCAGTTGATTTCTTTGTTTCTATACTGTATGTATGTATATCTATACCTATATATGTGTGTGTATGTGTGTTTCCCACTTTTTTGTTTGACTTTTTTTTTGTGAGGAGGGGGGTATTGTAGAAAGCTGGATATCATGTGTAGAACAATCAAGACCAAGGCAAAAATACATATATTTGCCTAGAAATAAGCATTTTTCTGCTAGGATTTAGGTGAATATTTGATAGAGGTTAAGCCAGTCTAATCAAGAGTTGAGCTAGTTCAGGGATTTTGTTTTTACTATGATTATCTTTAGTGCAAAACTGGCTCCAAATTCCTCTAGCACTATTTTGTGCCTAACTAGGGACTAGAGTGTCAGTGTAGTGCAGAAGAAGTGGTGAGATGGAGGGCATTTCCTGTTGTCTTATTTTAGTGTTATAGGTAGGCACTATGTCTCTTGATTTCAGGACTAAGGATCTTGTAGTGATCCTGCTCCTGCCAGTAGTGGTGGAGAATTCCCAGTGATCTGGGCCCCGGATGTTTTCCTGCTCCTTCTTCAAGAAAAGAAGGCTTTTATGTGTTTTTGGCTTTGTTTCTTGTGTTTGTTGCCCTCACCCAGCTTCGGTAAAGGAATAAAATAATCTTGGTGGACTTTTATGCCTTTTTCACAGAAGCACTTGCAACACACGCCATGACCTGCATGTTTTGCAGTCACCTGCCCTGCCTTCAATCGTTTTAATGAGCATTTGGAGGGAAACCTATCAAAAACGTTAAGAGTGAATATGAACTCCCCCTTGTATCCATGGTTTTCCAGGGCTCTAAGAACTCTTACTAGCTCACACCCAGTCTTTAGCAATTTACTGAAAATTTTAGCAGAAATGTGACTCCTTAATGGTGACAAAATCCCTATCTCTGGGTTCTCACCAAGATAAGTGTTTTGTGTCCCTTTTCTCTTTGGAGGCACCTTTCTTTAGATTTCAAGCTACTTGATGACTATAGAATCTCAGTTCTCAGCTTTATCACAGGTTCAAGAAAAATTATGATTTTGTAGACTTTTTCCTATCTTTGGGGTTGGATTGATGCATTTTAAGCAGATAGTAGAATTTATCTCTTTTTTAATAAGTAAAAAAATTGGACATTTCTTTCTATGTTTAGGAGTAATCTCTAGAGATATATTTATGTAATATGTTTTATTATTTACATATTACAGTATATAATATTATACATATATCTTCCATTTTAGTATTGGATTTTGGTCCTTACTGTCTCAATTTTAAAGAGTTCTCTAGCTATTAGGGATATTATTGTATCTTTTATTTTATTTAGTGTTTATATTTTATTTTATTTCACCTTTATAATTATGTCTCCAATTGATTTATTTTGCCTAATAATTGGCAAAATTATTGGCTAATACCTCTAGCACCTTGTTGAATAGCAGTGAAGATAATGGATGTTCTTGCATTTAAGGGTAATGCTTCCAGTGTTTTCTTATCCACCATAATCTTGGTTTTATTTATTATCACAAGTCAATAGCCATCTGTGGCAGATAGAATTTTCCAACAATTGTACCCACCACATAATCTCTCTCAAGTGCTTTAGTTACAATATGATATTAAAAATCCCTCCATCAAGTGGTGATATCTATGCCCATCTCATTGAATGTAGGTGTATTTGTGGCTGCCTTGAACAAAAGGGTATGACCAAAGTAGTACTGTGTGAACTCTGGGGCTAAATTTTAAAATATCTTGCAATTCTTTCTTATTTTCCTGAGACTATCAGGTAAAAACTTAAACCTATGAATTAAAATAAAGATAGAACAATTGGCCAGGCGCGGTGGCTCACGCCTGTAATCCCAGCACTTTGGGAGGCCGAGGTGGGCGGATCACGCGGTCAGGAGATCGAGACCATCCTGGCTAACACGATGAAACCCCGTCTCTACTAAAAAAATAAAAAAATTAGCAGGGCGTGGTGGCGGGCGCCTGTAGTCCCAGCTACTCGGGAGGCTAAGGCAGGAGAATGGCGTGAACCTGGGAGGCAGAGCTTGCAGAGAGCCGAGATAGCGCTACTGTACTCCAGCCTGGGTGACAGAACAAGACTCTGTCTCAAACAGAAAAAAAGATAGAACAAATATGAATATATCTGCCCCAAATAACATGCTAGCTACTTTTATAAAACAGAAAC
This sequence comes from Homo sapiens, assembly GCF_000001405.40. Classification (NCBI taxonomy): domain Eukaryota; kingdom Metazoa; phylum Chordata; class Mammalia; order Primates; family Hominidae; genus Homo; species Homo sapiens. The sequence goes on from NC_000003.12 coordinate 166,801,747, forward strand.
TGAGGGAGATGCCTGAAAACTAGCAATAACCATATTAAAAACAGAACACTTTAACACATCACTCTTGCTATGAGACAGGCTAAATAGACATGAAAAGATAGAACAAAAAAAATGGTGTAACAGTTATGATGATATATTTCAAACTTTATGCCCCAATAATGAAAAATGCAACTTCTCGTGTGAGTGCAAAACATCTGGAACAGTGAACTTACATTAGGTCACAAAGATAACATAGGTGAATAGAAACATTGCAAACGACATTCTGATCACATTGTAATAAAATTAATTTTATATTTACAGAACAATTGAGCAGAAAGTACTGAGAGTTACTACATAACTCATTTCCTCCAGCCCATAGTTTCCCTTATTTTTAAAATGTTTTATTGTTGTTATATATTTGATATAATTGATGAGCCAGTATTTAAATATTATTATTAACTACAGTCCATAGTTTATATAAGGCTCTCTGTGTTTTATACTCCATGGATTTCGACAAATGTGTACTCATATATTCATCATCAGAGTATGATATAGAATAGATTTACTGCCCTAAAAATCTATCTCCACCTATCCAACCCTCCCTCAGTCCTATCTGGCAATAACTGATCTTTTTACTGACTCTAAACTTTTTCTTTTTCTAAAATGTCATGTAGCCTATAGGAATTATACAGTAGGAATTCCTATATACTCATTATAATTTCTATTATTGTATTTATAGGAATTATACAGTATGCAGCTTTTGTAGACTGGCTGTTGTCTTCTTTCTTAAAAATATATATTTAGTTTTGCCCCCAGTTCGGATTGTATATTAAGCCCATGTTTTGCTTTCTAAGCAACCACCAAACTGTTTTCCGAATTGACTGTACCATTTTTTTATTCCCATTAGCAGTGAATGAGAGTTTCTATTGTTCCATAATCTTGCCAGCATTTTGTGTTGTCAGGGTTTTGAATTTTAATCATTCTTAACGGATATGCAGTGATATTTTGTTGCTTTTTTACCTTTAACTTTTTTATCATTTTTATTTCTCTGATGTATCTTCATCTACTTCTTCAATTTTGGCTTCTCCAAATCATTCTGTTTTAGGTGCATCTCATACACTGCACAGAGTTGGGTTTTGCTTTGTAATTAAAATTGAAAAGATATATTTATTTATTTTAATAGATGAATTAAGTCTGTTCATATTTATTGATACAATTTCTAGATTACGTCTCAACTCTGTTAAAATATTTTAAATTATTATGCATATTACATATTAATTTATGTATATCTTATTTAAAATATTTTACTTGTTTTACCTTTTCAATTATTTTTTGTCTTGTAATGAGGTTTATAGTTTTGTCCCAGATATAAACTTATATTTTTAAAAATATATTAACCATTACTTTATAAAAAAAATTTATAATATGATGTGTCCAATTTTAATTGAATCCCTTAACTAAAAATATACTCTTTTCAAATCCCAACAGCTATTATTTACTGGCATTTTGGAATGAAAAACTAGAATTCTGAGACATTCTCAGGAATTTTAAAATCATGAAGTATTCTTTATTCTTGTAACATTTCATTTACATTTTTAATAAAAAATAAATGTATTTGTACATAATTTGTACATAATTGAGCACTGGGAAAGAATCAAACACTGATAACTGCTTATATCACTGAAAATGTTACTAGGTAGTATTCAAGTAATATAACATTTAGATATCCTAGCAAAATGAGGAGGAGTCCACATGAACATGTAACAAAATTGTCTTAACTATTTCACATCCAAAAGTTTTAAATTTTGAAAGAATACTAATGGGATTTATATAAAGTATACCCTATATACACTTTTGTTAATATTCTTATTTACAAGAATGATTCATCATTAGGAGCAGACAGCGTCACTTAAAAAATTGCAACCATAAAAGTAATTATTTGGCTGTAAGTGGTTAAAATTATTAAAATGTTTTATATATAAAATGCAAGTTTTTAATTTCCCTTTTCTAAATTTATATTTTATTTCAGAATTATAATAAAATTATAAAATATATTTTGGACAAAAATCTGAAAAAGGAGAAAAACAGCAGCTTAGTGACAAAATAGATTTAACTGTCATGAAAAAACATATTGCTTACAAATCCTTTTGATTTCCAATTTTTATAATCAAACAATTCAGTTTAGTACTTCAAATCAAGTTGTATGAGATCTTTTTTGTGAAGAATAAGTTAGAAAACAAATTAATTAGTAAATTTACTTTCAAGGTAAATATACCATTGTGAATTCTGCTTATTATCTAACAAATTCTACATTTTACTTAGTGATATTTTACATAGAATGCTCTATTTATACAGTGTATGTGTAATTATTTTGATGACATTTTATATCACAATTTATCTGTAGTCAAAATAATGAGCCCCAACTGAAACCTCATACGTTATACAAAAGTTAACTCAAATTAGAATGTTTAAATATAAAATGGAAAGTACAAAACATTTAGGAAAAAATATTCTGAAAAGTCTTTGAGATCTAAGGATTACGAAAAAATTCTCAGACAAGACACCAAGAGCACCATTCATAGAAGGAAAACAAATGAATAAATTGGACTTCATAAAAACTTAAAATGTTTAACTCATAGGGTGACCTGGGTGAAGAATACACAGGACTTCTCCATTCTAGCTCAGCAACTTTTGTAAATGCATAATTATTTTAAAATAAAGGTTTTTAAATAAGCACAATCAGAAATGACAATGGTGACATTACTATAGATCCCACAGAAGTACAAAAGAGCCTCACAGATCATTATGAACACTTCTATATATACAAAATAAAAATTTAGGGGACATTTAAAAACTGTGGAAACTACAACCTTCTAAGAATAAACCTGGAAAATACTAAATTCTTGAGCAGACTAATACCAAATTCTGTAAATAGATCAGTTTAGCTTCCCAGTATATGAAGCAGCATGTAGAAGAGAAAGAATGGCCTTGAGGGACAAAGAAAGAGTGGAATCAATAAAGAAACTGTGAGCAATTCTGTGGCATTAAAACAAGTCTGGTGAGAAGAGCCAAGATGGCCAAGTAGATGCAGCCAGGACGAGCATCTCCCACTGAGAGACAATATCATCAAGAATACTGGTACACTCCAACCAGATCTTCAAAGAGAAGGCATTGAGAGTAGACAGAGGGAGGATACAGACCATGGGCTGACTGGAGAGGAAGCTGAGAACCCTGTAAGGTACTTCCTAGCACCAGGACTGATTCCTGGCCTCCCAGGAGCTCCTGGAAGGGGAGTGAGTGAGATAGGAGAGCATTGGCCCACCGTCTCCACAGGCTTTTGAAACCCAAGCTGCAGGATACCCCACGATCACCACAAACATCTGAGCTGGAGGCAAGAGCTGCTTGGAAAGGTGGCAATGATAGACCTCCAGCCTGAGTGAAGCTCATGGGAACAGCTGCAGTGGATCACAGCCAAGAACACCTATCACCCAAGGCTTGCCGTGTTCCTCTAGATGGCTTTGGTCTTTGGTTGACTGTCAGAACTGGAAAGAGCACAGTTGTATTGCACATAGGATGGGGCCAGTCTATGTGAGCACCCCTGTGTCTGCTGTCCTCTACTGAGATCCCTGCCTGGTCATGGCCACTTGTAGCATAGCTTCAGATGTCCAGGCAGCATATTTCACAGTGGCCACCACCATAGCTCCTTTGCCAGCAAACACAACCATCAGATAGCTTCTGCAGATGAGTCCCCACCATCATGCATCTGCCCACAGGTTCCTGCCAACACACTCAACCGAAGCCTCTCACCACTGCTTTGCTGGAATGCACTTGCCCACCACTGACCCTCTGCTTTGCTAGAACACATGCTTGCATGGATCTTGCTTCCACTGCCCCACCCCCAGTGGTACATGCACACATGAGAGTATACCCTGCTTCCACTGTCCCAACAAAGTGCATCTGCTGGCACCTATCACCTGAGTGTTGTTGCCAGTGACCAGGAACACCTCAGACCCTCCAGTGCAGCAGGTACTTAACTTAGAGGGTCCAGAGAACCAAGTTGGGCCTGGCTCCACTGCCAGGGTGAGAACACACAGCCCAGGAGTGCTGAGCTGAGTCTTTACCTCCTAAAATCATCCAGTAATGGAGCCCATTGACTGTTCCCAACTTATACCACAGTTAAATCCTAAAGGGCATCAAATAATATAAAAAACAAAAAGCCACATCAAAGGACAGAAACTTAAAAATAAAAGGGACATCAGCTCACACAGATGACAAAGAACCAGTGCAATAACTCTGGCAACTCAAAAAGCCAGAGTGTCTTCTTCCCAATGACTGCACTAGTTTACCAGGAATATTTCTTAACCAGGCTGAAAGGACTCCAATGACAAACATAATTCCAAATCTGGAAGGCAACAAAGATAATTGAGATTCAGGAGAAAGTTGACACCTAATCCAAGAAATCTAAAGAATCCAATAAAGTGATACAAGAGCTAAAAGACAAAAATAGCCATTTTAAGAAAGACTCAAACTGATCTGATACAGCTGAAAAACAGATTACAAGAATTTTATAGAAGAATCAATAATTAACATAAGAATACATCAAGATGAGAAAAGGATCTTAGAGCAAAGGACAGTTCTCCAAATCACACGTCAGACAAAAAAAAGTAGAAAGAAGAATGAAAAAAACTTTTGAAAATAATAGGATTATAGAAAGAAACAAAATGTACAACTCACTAGCATTACTGCAGAGAGGAAGGGAGAGCAAGCAACTTGGAAAACATATTTGAGGATATTGTCCAAGAAAATTTCCCCGTCACTGAAGAGGACAACATTCAAACTCATGAAATTCAGAGAACCACTGTGAGATACCATGCAAGATGACCATCTCTAGACCCACAGCCATCCTATCTCTAAGATAAATGCAAAAGAAAAAAATCTTAAAGGCAACTAGACAGAAGGCGCAGGTCACCTACAAGAGAACCCCATCATGACCAAGTGAGATTATTCCCAGGGATGCAAGGATGGTTCAATATATGAAAATCAATCAGTATGATACACCATACCAATAAAATGAAAATGAAAACCCTAAGGTAATTTTAATTGATGCTGAAAAAGCATTTGAAAAAATCCAACATCCCTTTATGATAAAAACCCTAAAAAAACCTGGGTGTATAAGGAAAATACCTCAACACAATAAAAGCCACATAACTAGTATGATACAGAATCGGGGAAAACCGAAATCCTTTCTCCTCTAAGATCTGGAACACAAGGATGCCCACTCACACCACTGTTATTAAACATAGTAATAGAGGTCCTAGCTAGAGCAATTAAACAAAAGAAATAAATAAAGGGCATCTAAATTGGAAAGGAAGACGTTAAATTATCCTTGTTTGTGACGATATGATCTTATATTTTTAAAAATCTAATGAGTTCACAAAAAACTATTAGAAATGATAAAAAAAATTAGTAAAGTTGCAGGATACAAGGTCAACATACAAAAGTCAATAGCATTTCTTTATGCCAACAGTGAATAATATGAAATCAAAAACAAGAAAATAATCTAATTTACAATAGCTAAGTATAAAATAAAATGTGTATGAATTAACTGAACCAAAGAAGTTAACAGTCTCTACAATGAAAACTATAAGACATGGACTAAATAAATTAAAGAGAAATCCAAAAATGTAAAAAAAAAAAAAAAAAAAAAAAAAAAAGAGCATGGATTGAAAGAATCAATATTGTTAAAAATGTCCTTAGTATCCAAAGCAATCTACAGGTTTAATGCAATTCCTATCAAAATACCAATGAAAGTCTTCATAAAAATAGAAAAAAAATCTAACATTTATATGGAACAACAAAAGACCCAGAATCGTGAAAGCTCTTCTGAGAAAAAAGAACAAAACTGAAGGAATCACATTTACGGTATAACTTCAAGTTATACTACAGAGCTGTAACAAACAAATGAATGGTACTAGCATAAAAACTGACACTTACACTCATGGAACAGAATAAAGAACCCAGAAACAAATCCACACATCTACAACAAACTCATCTTTTACAAAGATACCAAGAACATACATTGAAGAAAGAACAGTCTCTTCATTAAATGGTGTGGGAAAAACTGGATATTCATATGCAAAAGAATGAAACTAAAACTCTATCTTTCACCCTGTAAAAAACAGTCTAATCAAAATGGATTAAAGACTTAAATATAAGACCTCAAGTTATGAAATGACTGAAAAATGATATTGGTGAAACTCTCCAGGACAAAATCTTTGTTCTGGGCAAAGATTTCTTGAGGAATACCCTACAAGAACTGGCAAAAAGCAAAAGGCAAGCAACCAAATAAAAAATGAACAAATGAGATCAAAGCAAGTTAAAAAGCTTCCACACTGCAAAAGAAACAATCAACAAAGTGAAAAGACAACCAACAGAATAAGAGAAAATATTTTCAAACTATCATTCTGACAAGGAATTCATAACTAAAATACGTGTTTACCGTGAAAAAGAGAAGCTCAAACAACTCTACAGAAAAAAATCAAATAATCTGTTTAAAAAATGGGCAAAAGATCTGAATAGACATGCCTTAAAATAAGACATAGAAATTGTAAACAGATACATAAAGGGTGCTAAACATCACTGATCATCAGATAAATGCAAATTAAAACTACAGTGAGATATAATCTCACCCCAGTTAAAATGGCTTTCATCCAAAAGACAGGCAATAATGAATTCTGGCAAGAATGTGGAGAAAAAGGAAACATAGTATACTGTTGGTGGGAGTGTAAATTGATACAAACACTATGGAGAACAGTTTGGAGGTTCCTCGAATATAAAAATAAAACTATTATATGGTCCAGAAATCCAATGCTTATTATATACCCAAAAAGAAGTGAATCAGTGAAGAGATATCTGCACTTCCATGTTTATTGCAGCACTATTCCAAAAAGTCAAGCTTTGAAAGCATTCTAGATGTCCATCAACAGATGAATGGATAAAAAAAAATGTAGTATATGTACACAATGGAGTACTATTCAGTCATTAAAAAATGAGACCCTGCAAAACATGGATGGAATTAGAGGTCATTATGTTAAGTGAAATAAGCCAGACACGGAAAGCAAACTTTGCATGTTTTCTCTTATTTATAGCAGCTAAAAATTAAAACGATTGAATTTACGGAGATAGAGAATAATAGTTACCAGAGGATGGGAAGGATAGCTGGGGAGCGGGTGAAGTGGAGATAATTAGTAGGTACCAAAATATATTAATAGCTTGATAGAATGAATAAAATCTAGTATTTGATAGCACAATAGGATGACTACAGTTAATAATTTATTGTACATTTCACAATAGGGTGACTATAGTTAATAATAATTTATTGTACATTTCAAAATAACTAAAAAGTAAAGTTGTATTGTTGGTAACACAAACAAAGGATAAATGCTTGAGGTGATATTTTGATACACAATGGGGTATGAAGATTCTTTATTTATCCTGATGTGATTACTATGCATTGTATGCCTGTATCAAAATATCTCATGTACCCCATAAATATTTATACCTACAATGTACCCATAAAAATTAAAAAATAAAAATAAAAACTCCAGCCACATTATAAGTATTTTTATTTATCACAACTTATTTGCAAATGTGTTGTATTTCCAACGTGTTGATGAAATCTGAGTGAAAAGAAAGAAAAAGTTAATAGCACAATTGTTTTTAAAAAGCAGATAAAGTAATTTAAAATACTGTATAAATGATAAAATAAGAATATGCTCATCTAAGCATCTAGTATATTTAATTGTGGCAGAACATTTACTGAATTTATACGTGGATTAAAGAACTAGAAATGTCCGTATAACAGTTTTAAGTGTAACATATTGACAAGAATCAAAGGGATAAAAAAAAAACAAAAAACAAACAAAAACCCAATTACCTAGTCAGATTATATTGTGTTTACAGAACTCCATTGGGTATTATCAGTAGTATCTGTCAGGAGACAATAAGAGGTAAGAACATGTTTGCTATCATGCATGAGTTTCCTGGTTAAGTCAACAAAGATAAGTAGCACAACACCAACAAGAAACAAAAAAAAAAAAGAAGAAATAAGATGATGTGAAATGCAACTAAATGTTACTCTGCTAGTAACATTTACTTTGTTAATTGTATTACCGTCGCTGACTGCTTATCAAGAATTGGTAAAATCATAGAACTATAAGCTAGGTTCATGCTTTTTAATGTCATAAGTCTAGAGGGTTCAGAGATAAAAGTCTTCCTGGTCCTTTTCAATGTGATAGAGAGATTCAGTCAGGAGAGAAAGATGTGGCTGGAGAACATTACCATCACTCATACTGGACAAATGTTCCACTAAACCGAGCACTCTCTTATCTGTCTTTTGGAAGATTACAGTATAGTAAAAAAGATAAATATTTACATAAATGATTATTTTCAAGGTATGATGTGAAGTTCAAATAAAATATGATTTCCAAAAACATAAGATTAAATCCAACTGCAGAAAAGTCTTCATATTTAAGCTAGTTGTTTAAAAATGACTAATAGATGAGAGAATTTTTTTTATATAGAAAATAAATCATAATAAAATACATCAAGCTAAAGAATCCCATGGCAATATTTAGAAAATAGTGAATTATAGAGTGTGGAAAGTTTCGAGAAATGAGTAAGGAAATGTGGCTTAAGTTTCATAGTGGATATCAAAGGGCTGTATGTGGGAGATTTTTGAAACAGAAGAGTGATATAAATTAATATGTACTTTATTTTTTATTTTGAATACTTGATTATTTTTGTGGGTACATAGTGGGTATATATATTTACATGGGGTACATGAGAAATATATACATGGGGTACATGAGATGTTTTGATACAGGCATGCAATGTGAAATAAGCACATCATGGAGAATGGGGTATCCATTCCCGCAAGCATTTATCCTTTGAGTTACAAGTAATCCAGTTTTATTCCTTAAGTTATTTTAAAATATACGATCATCATTGACGATAGTCACCCTATGGTGCTATGAAAGAGCAGGGGTATTATATATTTTAGATAAAAATGTTTTTGTTAGGATAAAAGATAGATGAAAGGGGCTCGGAAGAGGAGACAGCGGTTGTCCAGGGCCTGCGGTTCACCGCCTCAGTGAAGGGCTCCACCGCAACCACCAGGCTTGTTGCTTTCCTGGGCGCCAGTCCCCAGCGAGCCGCACGCCAAGCCAGCAGCACGGCACCGATTCTTCTCTGGCTCTTGGGTGCTGCTCTGAGCAGCGTCACCCTTTCAGCGTCACCAGAAAGCTGGCAGGCACCATGTGGAAAAATTTAAACAAGAAAAAACTGTGGTAGAGGTGCCGAATGAGGAAAAGGAGTGTGTGGTGGAAGAAGTTCTCCACTGTTGTGCGGTGAAGGGTAAAGTGGAATAGCCGCTAAAGTGGAAGGGTTTCGCAGATGAGGACGACAAACACAGGGGGAGCCAGATGAGAACGTCATTGCTGAGTTTCTGCAGTCACAGAAAACAGCCCGAGACAGATGAGTCAGAGGGAGGCAAGCACAAAGCTGTTTCCGATTCTGGAGGTAAGGGAGAGGAGGTCAAACCTAAGAAGAAGAAGTCGTCAGAAAAGCCAAGAGGGGCTTTGCCCTGGGTTTTGAGTCACAGAGGATTATTGGAGCTACCGACTCCAGTGGAGAGAGAGCCCATGTTCCTGATGAAATGGAAAGCCTCTAATGAGGCTGACCTGGCTTCTGCCAAGGAAGCCAATGTCAAGTGCTCACAGATTGACATATCCTTATGTGAGGAAAGGCCAGTGTGGTATTTCTACCCCTCAGAGGATGATAACAAGAATGATGACAAGAATTAATTCTTCTGAGTACCAGCTTCTGTGACATCTGACTGTGGGTTTCAAGAGGGAAGGGCAAGAGTTCTACTTGTCTTGACACCATAGAAGTGGCTTGAGACGATGTTCTTTGAAGAGCAAGTATAGTTTTCTGTGTCCTGCAGCAACCCAAGTGCTTTAACGTCCTTTGGAGCTATATAGTGTGCACATATGGAAGGGGAAGGGGATAAATGTTTCAAGGCAACCGGTTTTAAACTTTGCTGAGAAAAACAACGGGTCTTCAATGACGAACAAAATCTGCGGATTTGGATGTGTGGGAGAGCAAAAAAGATACTGTAGATCTTCAAAGAGCCTCTCTACAATCCACAGTCCTCTTCCCAGTAGTGTTAACTATGCATTTTTTACAGCATAGCATGTCTGTAGTTGTTGGCTATTACTGGTGTATTATTTGGGGGTGGGAGGGATGTGGAGGGAGGAAGGGAGATGGACAGGTTCATTTGGGTTAAAATTTGGGGCCTGATTCAGGAAATGATAAAACAGTGGAAAGAACAGGTAACTAACTACTTGCTTCTATGCTCACAATATTTTACCTTTTCAAAAAATGACATTGACACCATAAATGAGGACTATAATAGACTGTTTAGATGTTGTAAATACGTGAAATCTATAAGTGAAGGTGTTCCCTGCCTGAGCTTAATGCTCTTCTCCACAAAGACCATTTCATAAGTTCCAAAGCTGCCATTTTGAAGATGGTAACTGACTGAAGAGGAAAGTCTTTTCTTGGAGAGTATAAACAGGCATATCATTCTGTATCAGAGGTGTTAATTCTTGAAATTAGACAAGAAGACCCTTGATTTTTTAATTATGAAGTTACAAATATCAGCTTGTTCATAGAATGCACTGGCTGAGGTATTTGGGGAGGGGAAGAAGGTGGCATAGTAGATGGAAGAGTAGGAAAAGGAAAAGACCCACATTGTTAGAATTCTTGAAGTGTCTCTGTTTTTTTTTTTTTGAGTTTCAAACTCTGAAACCACTGGTGGAAGGGGTCAGCCACAGACAGCACAATTTTCATTAAATCTACTCAAAGGTTGAATAATTTCAAAAGTTCTGTCCTCAAGAGAAGTTTAAACTTTCATACTGGGTTACTGGTTCACTTTAAAACACACACACACACACACACACACACACACACACACACACACCCCTCAACAGAAAAACATTTTTTAAAAATATTCTAAGAATTAACTGATACCTAAAGTGCTCTGTCTTGAATCATGAGAACAACAAGCTCTTGACATTGTCTAGACCTGAATCTAGTACTACATTGTGAAATCTTTTTAGTCATTTGTTAGGTTTCTGTGAAAACCTTGTTTTATTATAAACTTCATACCATGCATGCTGTCAGTTTTTATCTTAATAAAATCAGTTCTTTAATCTCCAAATACACAAACAATAAAGATAGACTGAAGGAAAAGGTACTGAAGTGAAGAACACAAATTAAAAAGTGGTTATACCAGTAGACCAGATTTTAGGAAGCAAAAGCAGTGAAGAAAACAGGGGAAATGCATCAGACAGATATGGAATCCTTCCGTGACAAGCTTAATATGAGACAGGATGCAATTGAGAGGACAGGCTAAATACATGGGTCTATGCTTTCGAGGTAGCAGCTATAGCTATGAAAAGAGATGAACTCTGACAGATATAATAAACATGTATAAGGCTATAAGCTTTAGTACTAAATATTGGGAGGAAGGACAAAGAAAGAGGAGGAAAACTGTTTACAAGGAAGCAGTAAGAGGAAGAAGATCATAATAAGAGTCAATAAATATTTGCTAAGCTTACTTGGCTTTATCCATTACAGTTTTTTACTGAAAACATCAGTGAATGCTTTATTGTTCCCGCCCCCAAGAAGCCCGTGTTTTCTTTGTGACGATGACATTAAAATTATAGTAAACATGATGTATGTTAAAATAGAAAAGTTAGTAAAGTTTCCATGCAATAAAGAAGCTATTTATACCTGTGCTGAGGTGAAGAAGTTAAAAAATTTTAGAAGGAAGTTGATATCTTATCAAATCTGTTTGAAAGTTCTCTAATTTTATAATAGTTAGATTTTGTGCTCATTAAACCATCAAGTACTTAAACTCTAATTAACTAATTTCCAGAGTTCTGAATAATGCAGTGACCACCCACCCACCCCCCCCCCCGCCCCACACACACACATTTGTACGTAAAAAGTACTAGTTTGGCTTATATTCTATACTAATTGAAAATAATTAGAAGAAGGACAACTATGTACGTATATTCTAGAGGCAATTACATCCTAGAAATTTATAGGCCAAATTCAGCCTCAGCTTATTTATACACACTCATTAAAGCATTTGTGTATTAACCGTGGCAAGTAGATGAACTTGAATGAAAACTAATGAACCAGACAAGAACTACTGGCCCAAATGAGATAAAATATTTCTTGCTTCCATGTTGCTGACAAGCAAAAGCAAATCGCTTAATGCCTTGGAAATCCCTCTCCATCCAAAAATCAATTTGCCATAGCTTCTGATAACATATTTTTATGCAACCAAACTAAAAATGATTAAATTCATTTTATAAAATATTTTCTTGACTCTCATATTTAGCATAATATTCAACTTCGCATGCATGGAAAAATAAGTATCTGAAAATATCTAAATTCTAAATGGCACTTATATTGAATTCCACTTAGCAAACAAATTATTTTTCTCCTCAAATATCCTCATTCTAATTCAATTTTTTTCACTTGTCACAAAAAATATAAGTATCTGAGAAATAACCTTAAACAAAATATTCAGTTTGCCACCTCAGTCCTTAGAAAGTAGGTCTTGATTCAATTCTGAATATCAGAAATGCATAAAAATGATGCCAGATTATCTGTTTAGTTCTAGAAAATATAAGGTGTCATGAAGTAAAGACGGATGGAACTAACTAACTTCCAAGGCCTGATTTTTTTTTCAATATTTACATCCTTTAATAGACAAAGAAAAAGAAAGTATCCAGCTTCAGCTATGGCATTTGGAGCTGTTCAAGCCCACAACCTCTGAGTTCCACATGTTCCCTGATCCGAAGCATTGAAATGAGAGAGTGCAACAAAGGGAATCCTAAGGAATCAAAGCTCCAATACTCCTCATTTCCACCTTCCACCATGCCAACCTTGAAGTAGAGATGATGAGGTTTAGGAATAATCATATTTACTTGTATCTAGGGACATATACAAGTCATAAAGCTTACCACCTCTGCCCACAGGAAGAAAAAAATGTTATTTAAGAACACATAGATGCCTCCATCACTTGGCATGTGATCTTTAGTACGTCACACAGTGACCTAAAACATTCATTCACATACTGAATATTATTCAGGCCTTGGAGAATACTTCTCCACATCTCCTGCCTTCTGTTCACAAAAAAACATGCGCCAGCATCCAGATGCTCTGAAAGTCTGTGGCTTTTGAATCTGCTGCCATCAATGACTGACTCAGATAATGTGAACTGAATAGTGGATTTGAACATAATACTTAAGTAGTAGAAAAGGCAAGTTAGCTTCACAAATCCCTCCTCTCAGAATAAATACAGTAGATTCTTGCAGAAAATTGTAAGGTTTCTTAGTGACATCATATGTCATTTTTTTCCCTTTACTTTTCCTTTTTTCTTTAAAATCTAATTTTGTGGCTCATCTTCAATAATTTGACAAAATAAGTTTACATATTTTTGTATTTTATTATTATGAAGATATACTTGTAAACTTGGAAATGAAGAGATAATTTAAGAATTTACTGCTTTGATTCATAACTTGTGAATACTTAGGCATAGTATGTGGGCCTCCATTGTCACTCTAATCAATGCCCTTTATCAGACCAGATCCAGTATCAGGTCTCAACTTTCTCTTATATAATATCTGCCACATTTAACACAACTGGTCATTTACTCTTTCTCAAATGCTACCCTTATTGGACATCAGGACTGCCTTCCCTCAATGTATTCACTCTCTGGCCTCATGTGTTCAGTCTCCTTTGGTTGTCAAGGGTTAACCTCTAAATCATTTCAATTCTAGTTTCTTGACTGTAAATATCAAATACTGATGACATCCACATTTATAGCTGGAGCTCTAATACCTCCTCTGAACTTAGACACTGATCTCTCATCTTTTCTTCTATGTGTAATAGACATCACAAGTCTAAAATGTTCAAAACCACACTCTTGTGTTCCATCCCCTAAACCTGTCCTTCCTACAGTCTTCCCCATTTCATTAAATGTCAACTCCATTCTACTCCAATGTCAAGGTCCATAACCTTGATATCTCTTTTCTTTAATGTTGACCTTCATAGATATAGCTATGAAAAATATCCAGAATCAAAACAATTCTCACCATATCCACTGCTAGGTCTACTCCAGCTACAATCATCCCTCATCTGAAATAGTCCCCTAATTAGTTTCCCTGCATCAATCTCTATCTACCTGTGGTCTATTTTTTACATAGCAATCCTGCAATACCTTGAAATGAAAGTCTGACCATATTACTCTGCTCAAAACTATACAGTGCCTTTCATGCATTTTGGCATTAAAGTATTTTTCAGATAACAAACGTGCATTTTCCTGAACAATTTTTTATATACCAATGGCATGCTTCTGATTTATATTGTACTAAAATTATTTTCATCAGTTAGTATTTTTCTACTAATATTTCAAAGTAAATATGTATATGTTAATTAATTACTTGTCTTATAAAATGTTTGATACATAATACATATAAACAAAATGATAAACAAACAGCTTTAAATTACCCTCAATTTTATGAATTGGAAAAATTGTCAATACTATTGCATGTATCTATGTAGTTTTCTCTCATCTTACCCCGTTAATTGTTGTGTGTTGTTCATCATTCTGTTTACTTTTTTTGGTTTAGCTTGGTTACATATGTAGTTATCAAATAAACTATTTTTGTTTTTATAGATACTTATAAAAATACTACCATACCCTGTGTCATCTCCTGGAACTTGCTGATTTTACTATCCACTGATTCTAAGATCTATGTATGTTGCTGCATTGACATCTAGCTCATACATTTTCACTTCTACATAATAATCCAACATTATAATGGATTTCCTTGTCAATGAATATTTTAGGTTTTTTCAGATTTTTGCAATTGTAAACAGTGCTGATAAGAAATGGTGTGCATGCATTCTAACATGCATTTGCAAGTTTCTTTGTGGAGTACACCTATTAACAGAATTGGTGGCTTATACAGTATATAAATGTTCAACTTCAAAGTATAGCATTACATTGCCTTCCAAAGTGATTGAGACATTTGCACTCTCAGCAGCACTGAATAGGTACCATGTTTATCCACATTTTCACTATTCATATTAAATTTGAGCTGGTTGTGGTGGCGTGCATCTGCAATCCCAGCTACTCGCTACTTGGGAGCCTGAGGCAGGGAAATCACTTGAACCCAGGAGGCAGTGAGCCAAGATCTAGCCACTGCACTTCCAGCCTGGGCAACAGTGTGAGACTCCAGCTAAAAAAACAAAAAAACAACAAAAAAAAACACAGTGATTTCTACACCAGGCGCGGTGGCTCAGGCCTGTAACCCCAGCACTTTGGGAGGCCGAGGAGGACAGATGACATGAGGTCGGGAGACCGAGACCATACTGGCTAACACGGTGAAACCCCATCTCTACTAAAAATACAAAAAATTAGCCAGGCGTGGTGGCACGTGCCTGTAATCCCAGCTACTCGGGAGACTGAGGCAGGAGAATCGCTTGAACCCAGGAGATGGAGATTACAGTGAGCCGAGATCATGCCATTGCACTCCAGCCTGGGCAACAAGAGCGAAACTCCATCTCAAAAATAAATAAATAAATAAATAAATAAATAAATAAATAAATAAATAAATAAATAAATTTGACCATTTCATTATACCCTTTAAAATAAAATGAGGGAAGACAGTATAAAAATCCTCCCCAGCCACTAATACAGCTACTAACACACCTA
Source organism: Homo sapiens (assembly GCF_000001405.40). NCBI lineage: Eukaryota > Metazoa > Chordata > Mammalia > Primates > Hominidae > Homo > Homo sapiens. Next base: position 166,817,585 of record NC_000003.12, read on the forward strand.
CAATGTCCTAGGTGATCTATTCCTAGGCTGTCTCTGGCTTCATCTCCTACTCTGCTATCCTTGCTTTCTTCTCTCCAGCATAATGCAAAATCAAGGCACTGAACTTGCAGGTACCTGGAATACTACCACTATCCCTCTCTCCTTCCACTACTACATACTACACTGTCTATTCTCTTCTCTACATGGCGCCAAATGACTTCTCAAACAGTAAGACTTTCCTGACTCTAAAATTCAAATAACCTCCAGTACCATCATTGCTTTCTTTGTTCTCCTCTCTCCTTAAATATTTGCGTAGCTCTTACCAACTGATATATTATATATTATTATTTTATGTATTTCTGATATGTCCTCTTCACATTACAAGATAAGTTATATGATGGCATGGATGTTGACTCCTTCCTTCACCATTATACTATTAATAACTAGATAACGGCCTGTCCATAGTCTTTTCTCAACAAAAAATTATGGAATGAATGAATGGTGATAAATTATGACCAAAAGATCCACTTAATAAAAAGTTCAAACTATTAAACCTATTGTGCTATGAGATTGGAACTGAACTGAAGGCTTTAGTATGTAAAGTGTGTTCATTCTCCAATAAACATAAAACTTCCTCTTAGAAAGACTAAATATTCTAAATATTTTAATGAGTTACCATAAAACATTTAATAAAATGTGTTTAAAAGTGACCATGTAAATATTCAAAAATATGTACAATTGAACTTAATAAAATTTGAATAATTTTTCCAATTTATTTGTATTCAAGGACATGAGATTAATTTTAATGTGCCTAATGATAATGCAACTACATTTATGTATAGAAATCATAGTTTACAACACTTAGTAGTATGTGAGTTGTATTATATTTAATGTATAGCAACTATATTTTTGAAATTATAACATAATTAAGTTCTTACAAAAGATTTTCAAGTACCATGCAATTTAATGTCAGAAGCTAAAAGTATTTCTAAATAACATTTTCAACCACTGTTTTATGTTGAACACATTTTTGTTTGAATTACTTTGTATGTGTTTTACTGAGGCACCTGAGGCTATTTTAAAAAAGGAGAATTTGGTGCTGTGGCAATGGAACCAGACCTGTTTTGCAACTTTTAATCTTGCACCTTTCCTTAAATTTTTTGAGCTTTAACACTCTTTTTTTTGAAAGGGATTTAGTAATTAATGGTCACTCAACTTAGTTCACAGTTCCTTGTAATAAAAAGGGGGTGGATCATCTATTCAAAAGTGTTTTACAAAAGATAAATAGCAATCAAATATTAGTTTATTTTATTCCTCATCACCTAGAGTATTCATTTAACATTCTTGTATTCATTCACTCTCCAAACTTTGAGTACCTACCATATGTGATCTACTTTGCACCAAGATGAATAAAACATAGTTTAACTCAAAGAGCTTCACTTATTTTCTTTTTGTTGGGAATATCTTGATTGCAGATTTTTTTTCTTTCCCCACGTATAAACTCCTCATCACAAATGTTTAACCAATTCTATTTGTTACTTACATGACACAAAAAATGTCCTCAGTACCCATGACCTTACATAAAATAAATTGTGTTAATCATAAACTCATAGAGTAATATTCTGCCTTATCCTAATAATTTATCTCAAAGCTTTGTCTAAACAGGCTAAAATATCTGGCTCTGTGGTTTCCGCCTTTGGTCTCTTAACTTTTAGCACTAAGTCCATTGGGGTCCATTTATTTTTCATTAAAAAATGAGTATGTTCTACCACAAAATTTGCAGAAAAAAACAGTTTAGATTTCTTGTGCCTTTTTAAATATAGAATATGTATTAACTATGTAGAACTAAATATGAAACTATAACAATTGAAATTAATTCTGAAAAAATATTGAGTCTCCAAAAATATAATAAAACTGTGTTTAATTAGATACTAAAAATGAACACAATTGTTTCAGACTGGTGACTGAATGGTAGAGAGCACAAACTAGAGAAGTTAAATTTTTTTTTTCAGGGCTTTGTGTATGAGTTTAGTGTGTTTGGTTCAGAAGAAAATAATGTGAAATGCTATTTATAAGAATGTGCATATATAAGATGATCTCAACGCCAGGCAATAGAAGCAAGAAATTGGCCAGGCATGGTGACTCACTTCTGTAATCCCAGTACTTTGGGAACCTAAGGTGGGCAGATGACTTGAGGTCAGGAGTTGGAGACTAGCCTGGCCAACATGGTGAAACCCCATCTCTAATAAAACACAAAAATTAGCCGGTGTGATGGCTTACCCCTGTAATCCCAGCTATTCGGGAGGCTGAGGGAGGAGAATCTCTTGAACCTGGGAGGCGGAGGTTGCAGTGAGCAGAGGTCATGCCACTGCTCTCCAGCCTGAACGACAGAGCGAGACTCCCTCTCAAAAACAAAAATAAAAAAGCAAGAAACTAGAAGATGCAAAACAAAAGGAAATGTGTTCAGACTGACTAGGACAAAATTAAGTGGAGAATAAGTATGGTTAATAACACTGTGACTATTTTGTTGAAAGATCCTAGGATCTCTTTTTCTGAAGATGTGCTCTGATAGTGCGGTATATTCCATAAGATCTTTATCCCACACTCCTCACCTAAAAGAATAAATCCTAGCTTTAGAAAACGCTTTTCTTTCAATCAGTATATTGAAAATTCACAAAGCATCTGGACCTCTGTAGTTGATAAGTATGTACAGAGTGTTTGTAACATCAAAAACATTGTATGCTATCAGAGAGAAAAATAGATAAATGAAGAGCCATGTTTGAAGATAAGATGAAGAACTTAAAAGATGTCTTAGAGTTTCCAAAATTTTGACATAGTTAACTCAATGTAAATTATCAGTACATGAGATTATATTAATTAGTGTGGAAATAACACTTTATATTACTATGTCCAAACATGTTCTTAGTGTAACTGGGCAAAAACTCTGGCAGAAATCTATAATTACACGTAAATACTATGACTTGTTTTCCTAAGGCCAAACTACATGCAATGGGCTGAGTTGAGAAAGAAACCCAGGTCTTCTAATTTACATAGTTTATCAGAGGCTGATTAGCTCTAGTGGAGAATGTACATTTAACTTAAGCATGAACCAGCAATGAGGACAATCAGGTTAAATGATTCCAGTTTAATCTTTCATTCCAATAAGACACAACTTAAAATTTAATGTTTTCCTTATAACCAATGACCTGAGTGGGAGCTCAGGAAGGCTTTGAAAATGGTTAATAGAGGAGGTAACTTCAGGAAATTAGAGAAATACAGTCTTACATTGGGTTGCAAAAGGTTAGGCTTATAAAATAGAGCAGGAAAAAATATAGACTGCATCTAAAATCAAATCTGTAATGAATTAGGATGAAGCTCAGAAGCATTTGTATAACTAACTGCTACTCTCCAGATTTCTGTCTGCAGGGGCCCATAAGCATCTTTCTCATTGCGGAAATCTATCATTTTTATTGTAAATTTTTTGGTTAGAAAATGCATGCAAAGAACATTTTAGTATCATTGTAGCTATGAAATAAAATTAAAATATAGTTAAATATAAAACTTATTCCAGTTATGGAAATGCAATGACCTTAATTTTTTAAATGGTTTTGTTTTTCACTGTTGATATGTTCAGTGAAAATCAATCACACATGGAACAAATACCACAAGTCTTGTAGACCGACTCAACAAAAATATCAGTTATTAAATAAACTGTGATTTAGCCACCAAAGTCTCAGCAGAAGCTGTTTATAATTAATCGTTCCTGTCCTTATGTAGATGCAATGAAACATTTGCAGTAATGTTGCCTGCAATTCTTTTATTAAAGAACAACTCCAAGCTGGGTGTGGTGGCTCAAGCCTGTAATCCCAGCACTTTGGGAGGCCGAGGCGGGCGGATCACGAGGTCAGGAGATCAAGACCATCCTGGCTAACACGGTGAAACCCCGTCTTTACTAAAAATACAAAAAAAAATAAAAACTTAGCTGGGCGTGGTAGCTGGCGCCTGTAGTCCCAGCTACTCAGGAGGCTGAGGCTGGAGAATGGCGTGAACCCGGGAGGCGGAGCTTGCAGTGAGCCGAGATGGCGCCACTGCACTCCAGCCTGGGCGACACAGCGAGACTCCGTCTGAAAAAAAAAAAATGACTCCAGGTTCACAGTTTAACATCTTTTGTGTGAATTTGAATTCTTGTGATCAAATATTATTGTGTCTTATAAAGTAAAATATTTCTGTTATTTTTATATTTATAATATTTCCTATTATAATAATCTATGTGTGATTAAAATAGCTAAAAGTAAAAATTTTTTGTGGAAACTAAGAATTTAAACATAACTAATATGTATTAAAAACAATTACCTTTTCTTCTCAAGTACAAAACTTTATTAAAATAGGAAAATCATACAGGTAGTGACAGAAGAAAATGCCACATAAAAAGTTAACAATGTGCATTTTTGTGTTACAATTATGATTGCTTATTTTTCTTCTTAATTTCTTAATTTATTTCAGATTGTGTGTTAGTTTTTTAAATGACATTTTATTATTTAATTCTAGAAATTAGAGATTGTAAATAATTTTTTTAGATTTTATTGTTTCAAAAAAGTAGACAAGGAGTCATACATTTTCTGGGAAAATAACAATTTAGAAAAATGTTGACAATCTATCTAATCCTAGGGGAATCTTTGCAAGTGATTGTTGTTTTGAGAGTGGCTCTTTACTGATATTCACCTAAAATAAAATACTTTGAAACAGTATCTCCATCCAAGAAAAAAGCTTACAAAAATAAACAGTTGAGTTATCTTGGAAACAAGAAACACTTTTAAAAAGATAATTACATTTTATAATAAATTACTTTAATAATCCAAATGGAATCATCCTCCTTAAAAATGTTTTGTTAGTAGTAATTATTAAAATCATAAATCATTTTGTAAAATTTGTACTTTTGGTACAAAATGAGAAAGTATTTAAAAATTTATTTCAAAAAATTTAGCAATAGTTTGTTAAATTCAGATAGTATATTTTTTCATGCGCGTCCGTGTGAAGAGACCACCAAACAGGCTTTGTGTGAGCAATAAAGCTGTTTATTTCACCTGGGTGCAGGTGGGCTGAGTCTGAAAAGAGAGTCAGCAAAGGGTGGTGGATCATCATTAGTTCTTATAGGTTTTAGGATAGGTGGTGAAGTTAAGAGCAATGTTTTGCAGGCAGGGGTGGATCTCACAAAGTACATTCTCAAGGGTGGGGAGAATTACAAAGTACCTTCTTAAGGGTGGGGGAGATTACAAAGTACATTGATCAGTTAGGGTGGGGCAGGAACAAATCACAGTGGTGGAATGTCATCAGTTAAGGCTATTTTTACTTCTTTTGTGGATCTTCAGTTACTTCAGACCATCTGGATGTATACATGCAAGTCACAGGAGATGCGATGGCTTGGCTTGGGCTCAGAGGCCTGACATTCCTGCCTTCTTATATTAATAAGAAAAATAAAACAAAATAGTGTTGAAGTGTTGGGGCGGCGAAAATTTTGGGGGGTGGTATGGAGAGAGAATGGGCGATGTTTCTCAGGGCTGCTTCAAGCGGGATTAGGGGCGGTGTGGGAACCTAGAGTGGGAGAGATTAAGCTGAAGGGAGATCTTGTGGTAAGTGGTGATATTGTGGGGACGTTAGAAGAAACATTTGTCATATAGAATGATCGGTGATGGCCTGGATATGGTTTTGGATGAATTGAGAAACTAAATGGAAGATACAAGGTCTGAAAAAAAGAAGGAGAAAAATGGGTATTAAAGGACTAAGAATTGGAAGGACCCAGGACATCCAATTAGAGAGTGGCCAAGGGGGTTCAGCATAATTACTTGCTTGGTTGGCAAGATTTTGGGCTTTATCCTTGAGTTTTTTTATGTTGTCATACACCAGGCCAGATTGATTTAGGTAAAAATAAGACTCTTCATTTAAGAATATACAGAGTCCTCCTTTTTCAGCAGTGAGTAAGTCAAGGCCTTGGCGGTTTTGGAGGACAACTGCAGCTGAAGAGTCAACTTGGGCCTGGAGGCCTGATAAAGTTTGTGATATGTCTGTAATGCTAGCAGAGAAGTCATTAGACAGGATACGGAAGGTCGTGACAGAGGTTGAAATGCCTGCTATTCCAGTACCGAGAGCAACAGTGGAGGCAGAAAGTCCTAAACCAACCATCAAGGGAATTAGTGGAATAACTCTTTTTTGTCGTGTCGGTGTCATGAGGGGAACAGGGAGCTCTTCAGTCCCATTTGCAAATTGAATTTTGGAGGTAAGGAAAACTAGTGTGCATGTGCCTGTCCAATTAGCAGGTAGACACATGTAGGTAGAGGATCCACAGAGGAAGAAGAGACTTTGTACTAGGCAAAACTGGAGATGTAAAGTAAAAAGGTGAGAAGGAGTGCTGAAAGGGGTGTCTTGTACCCAGACTCTTAGGGATCCACCTAGGGGGGCAGCAGTCAGAGGTTGTAATGGGGACTGATGGGGTAACTGCGTAGAGGGGGAGGTTCGATTTTCATGGTATATGAGAAAACGTTGAGCATCTACGAGCAAACTTTCACTGTTATTTTTGGGGCTGGGTATAAGTAAACAAGAAGAGGGTCTGGGAGGAGAGTCTGATGAGCAAGGGGAAAATAGCCAAGGATGGAGTGAAATACAGGACAAGTGTCTTCCTAAGCAATAATTACTGCTAACGTTTTTAAGTTTGTCAGTATTGATAGAGGGCTTGTCTGTAATATGGAGCTGGAAGGCTCCATTTGTTTCAGTGATGTGTGTAGTTGGGCTTCGGAGATGAAGAGTAAAGGAACATCGAGAAGGTGAAAGATTACCTAGGGGAATTCCAGTGGGTCTTTGCCGAGAGATACATAAAGGAGCGGCCACAGGAATAGTAGTTTGTGTTGTGAGCGGTCCAAATGTGGGGGGAGTAGAGTTAATATAAGGAGAAAGGTTTTTTAAATAAGTGCAGAGGAGGGCGGCAGCTTGCTGATGTGAAATGTCTGGGGAAGTCTTGCTGGACCTGTCTAGAAAGTAAATGAGTTTTTCAGGAGGGTAAAGGTGAGGGCTGTTAAAGGAAGTTCGGAGGTGTGGGGAGACAGGAGATGTTGCCCAGTCTGTCTGTAAGGCAGGGACAGCTGGGTAGGCACTGGAAGGAAGGGAAATGCAAAGCCAGCAGTTTTTCACTAAGGAGGGATTAGAAACGGCTAGGAGAGAATGGGTAAGGTTGATAGTGTGGTGGAGATAGCTGGGGAGAGGTAAAGGGTGGCATAAGATTGGGAATGAGAATAAGAGTGAGTATAAAAGTAAAGAATAGAACTTCATCAGGGTGGAAGTATTGGAGGATGCCCTGCCAGCAAAGATCATCTATCCACTCTAAGAGGGAGTTAAGAGTGGCAGTTTCGGGATAGCACCAAGAGATATCAGCTGTGATGGCTTGAAGAAACAGTGTAAACTGGTGGTGTAAACAAGAGTAGGGCATTTATAAGTAGTTGATAATGGAGAATAGGAGTATGACCAGACAGAAGATAGTAGGGATGACTCGTTTTTGGGGGCACAGTCTAAGTTAGTCTGCTCTCTGGAATGAGACTGGGGCCTAATAAAAAGGAGCATCTATACAGGAGCTCAAATGGGCTGTACCCTGTAGCATTCTGAGGACAGGTCTGACTTCTGAGAAAGGAAAGTGGTAAAAGTATTGTCTAGTCCTTTTTAAGTTGGTGGCTGAGCTTGGTGAGGTGTGTTTTTAAAAGACCGTTAGTCTGTTCTACTTTTCCTGAAGACTGAGGACTGTAAGGGATATAAAGGTTTCACTAAATATTAAGAGCCTGAAAAACTGCTTGGCTGATTTGACTAATAAAGGCTGGTCAGTTATCAGACTGTATAGAGGTGGGAAGGCTAAACTGAGGGATTATGTCTGACAGAAGGGAAGAAATGACTGTGGTGGCCTTCTCAGACCCTGTAGGAAAGGCCTCTACCTATCCAGTGAAAGTGTCTACCTAGACTAAGAGGTATTTTAGTTATCTGACTCGGGGCATGTTGAGTAAAGCTAATTTGCCAGTCCTGGGTGGGGGCAAATTCTTGAGCTTGATGTGTAGGGAAGGGAGGGGGGCCTGAATAATCCTTGAGGAGTAGTAGAATAGCAGATGGAACACTGAGAAGTTATTTCCTTGAGGATAGATTTCCACGATGGAAAGGAAATGAGAGGTTTTAAGAGGCGGGCTAGTGATCTGTACTATAGCATAGCCTGCCTTTGCTGGTGTGTGGTGATTAGGCCTGGTGGAACCGCCATTAATAAATCAAGCATGATCAGGGTGAGGAACAGGAAAGAAGGAAATATGGGGAAATGAGGTGAATGTCAGGTGGATCAGAGAGATACAGTCATGAGGGTCAGGTGTGGTTTCCAGAATAATGTGGGAGACCGGATTGAAGTCCCGGTCAGGAACAATGGTAATTGTGGGACTTAACAAAGAGTGAGTACAGCTGAAGGAGCCGGGGAGCAGAAAGTATATGCATCAGGTATGAGGAAGAAAATAGATTTTGGAAGTTATGAGAAATGTAGAGAGTAAGTTGAGCATAGTTTGTGATTTTGAGGGCCTCTAAAAGTATTAGGGTGGCAGCAGCCGCTGCAGGGAGACATGATGGCTAGGCTAAAACAGTAAGGTCAAGTTGTTTGGACAGAAAGGCTATAGGGTGTGGTCCTGGCTCTTTTGTAAGAATTCTGACTGCACTATGCCTAGGAAGGGAAGGAGTTGTTGTTTTGTAAGGGATTGAGGTTTGGGAGATTAATCGGACACAATCAGCAGGGAAAGCACATGTGTTTTTATGAGAATTGTGCCGAGATAGGTAACAGATGAGGATGAAATTTGAGCTTGACTGAAGTAATGGGGGCTGTCTATGAAGACTTGCGGCAGTACAGCCCAGGTAATTTGCTGAACCTAATGGGTGTCAGGGTCAGTCTAAGTGAAAGCAAAGAGAGTCTGGGATGAGGCGTGCAGGGGAATAGTAAAAAAAGCATCTTTAAGATCGAGAACGGAATAGTGAGTTGTGGAGGAAGGTATTGAGGACAGAAGAGTGTACGGGTTGGGCACTACAGGGTGGATAGGCAAAACAATTTGGTTGATAAGGCGCAGATCCTGAACTAATCTGTAAGACTTGTCCGGTTTTTGGACAGGTAAAATGGGGAAATTGTAAGGAGAGTTTATAGGTTTTAGAAGCCCATGCTGTAGCAGGCGGGTGGTAACAGGCTTTAATCCTTTTAAAGCATGCTGTGGGATGGGATATTGGTGTTGAGCCGGGTAAGAGTGATTAGGTTTTAATGAGATGGTAATGGACATGTGATGGTAATGGGCATGTCATCGGTTGCAAGGGAAGGAGTAGAGATGTCCCATACTTGTGGGTTAAGGTGGGGGGATATGAGAGGAAGATGCGAAGGAGGCTTTGGGTTGGGAAGAAGTGCGGCAATGAGATGCGGCTGTAGTCCAGGAATAGTCAGGGAAGCAGATGATTTGGTTAAAATATTTTGGCCTAATAAGTGAACTGGGCAGGTGGGGATAACTAAAAAAGAGTGCATAAAAGAGTGTTGTCCAAGTTGGCACAAGAGTGGGGGAGTTTTCAGGGGTTTAGAAGCCTGGCCGTCAATACCCACAACAGTTATGGGGGCAAGGGAAACAGGCCCTTGAAAAGAAGGTAATGTGGAGTGGGTAGCCTCTGTATTGACTAAGGGGATGGACTTACCTTCCACTGTGAGAGTTACCCGAAACTCGGCGTCCTTGATGGTCTACGGGGGTTCCGAGGTGATCGAGCAGCATCAGTCTTCAGCCGCTAAACCGAGAAGGAGTCCGTCAGAGAGCCTTGGGCCAGAGTTCCAGAGGCTCTGGGAGTAGCTTCCAGGTGAGTTGAACAGTCTGATTTCCAGTGGGGTCCCGCAAAGATGCGACATGGCTTAGGAGGAATCCTGGGCTGTAGGCATTCCTTGGCCTGGTGGTCAGATTTCTGGCACTTGTAGCAAGCTCCTGGGGGAGGAGGTTCTGGAGGAATGCCTGGCTGCTGCGGTTCAGGTGTTTGGAAGTTCTTGTGTGCTGGAGGTGTGGCTGGGGTTTGTCTCACAGTGGAGGCAAGTAATTGCAACTTTTTTCTATTATTGTACACCTTGAAGGCGAGGTTAATTGAATCCTGTTGTGGGGTTTGAGGGCCGGAATTTAATTTTTGGAGTTTTATTTAATGTCAGGAGCAGATTGGGTAATAAAATGTATTTTGAGAATAAGACGGCCTTTTGACCTTTTAGGGTCTAGGGCTGTAAAGCGTCTCAGGGTTGCTGCCAAACGAGCCATGAACTGGGCTGGGTTTTTATATTTGATGAAAAAGAGCCTAAATGCTATCTGATTTGGGATAAAGAAAAAGGAGCATTAACCTTGATTATGCCTTTAGCTCCAGCCACCTTTTTAAGAGTAAATTGCTGGGCAGGTGGGGGAGGGCCAGTCATGGTATGAAACTGTAAGTGGGACCAGGTGTGAGGAGGGGAGGTGATAAAAGGATTATAGGGTGGAGGAGCAGAGGCTGAGGAAGAATTGGGACTTAGCTCAGCCTGGCGAGGAGGGGAGAGGTCAGATGGTTCTGTAGAAAAGGAAGATTAGAAAGACTCAGCAATGCTTCGGGTTGGGACTGAGGGGACTGGCAGGAGGGAAAGAAGGAAGAAGATTTGGGACGAGTTGCACTGGACACAGAGACTAGGGAGGGACCGATGTGTAAAAGAATGCTGGGAAGTCAGGCACCTCAGACCTTTTGCCCATTTTACGACAAGAATTATTTAGATCTTGCAGGATGGAAAAATTGAAAGTGCCATTTTCTGGCTATTTGGAACTACTGTTGAGTTTGTATTGGGGTCAACTGGCATTGCAGAAGAAAACAAGATGCTTAGATTTTAGGTCAGGTGAGAGTTGAAGAGGTTTTAAGTTCTTAAGAACACAGGCTAAGGGAGAAGGAGGAGGAATGGAGGGTGGAAGGTTGCCCACAGTGAAGGAGGCAAGCCCAGAGAAAAGAGAGAGTAGAGACATGGAGGGAAGGGGTTTGGGGGTTCTTACCCTCCAGAAAAGCAGGAAAGGGGTCGGGGCACGGAAATAAGGGATTGGGGGTTCTTGCCCCCTAGAAAAGTGGGACTTGCCGCTAAGGGTGAAGGAGAAGGGGTTGAGGGGTACTTGCCCCTCCCCCAGGAAAGCAGAGAAGAGGTAGAGACATGGAGAGAAGGAGTTGGGGTACTTGCCCTTCCCCCAGAAAAGCGGGACTTGCCGCTAAGGGTGAAGGACCAAGGCAGGCGTCCCTGTGTGGTCTGACACCTTTGAAACCTGGGTGAATAATCAGAGAGGCATCCTTGCAATGATTAAACACCAAGGGAAGGCTGCCTTCCCAGTCCGTGACTGGCGTCGGAGTTTTGGGTCCACGGATAAAACATGTCTCCTTTGTCTCTACCAGAAAATGAAAGGAATTGAAATTAAGAGAAGGGAGAGATTGAAGTGTGGTGCCAAGATTGAAAGGAGAAAGAGGTTGAGGGATAGTGAGGGAAGTTGGAGAAGAGAGTAAAAAGAGGCCGCTTACCGGATTTGAAATTGGTGAGATGTTTCTTGGGCTGGTCAGTCTGAGGACCTGAGGTCATAGGTGGATCTTTTCTCATGGAGCAAAGAGCAGGAGGACAGGGGATTTATCTCCCAAGGGAGGTCCCCCGATCCGAGTCACGGCACCAAATTTCATGTGTGTCCATGTAAAGAGACCACCAAACAGGCTTTGTGTGAGCAATAAAACTGTTTATTTCACCTGGGTGCAGGTGGGCTGAGTCCGAAAAGAGAGTCAGCAAAGGGTGGTGGATTATCATTAGTTCTTATAGGTTTTGGGATAGGTGGTGAAGTTAAGAGCAATGTTTTGAGGGCAGGGGTGGATCTCACAAAGTACATTCTCAAGGGTGGGGAGAATTAGAGTACCTTCTTAAGGGTGGGGGAGATTGATCAGTTAGGGTGGGGCACGAACAGATCACAATGGTGGAATGTCATCAGTTAAGGCTGTTTTTACTTCTTTTGTGGATCTTCAGTTACTTCAGGCCATCTGGATGTATACATGCAAGTCACAGGGGATGCAATGGCTTGGCTTGGGCTCAGAGGCCTGACATATTTGGAGAACAAAAATAACTGAATATCATCAGGAGATGAAATGTAATTTGCATTGAAATTAAGGAACAAGGACAGAATACAAGGAAATCAAGCTATTATATTTTATTATACCTTTGTTTTTATTTTTATTGATATTAAATAGCATTTGAAATAAAATAGAAATGATTCTGACATATCATGAATTTGGTGTCTCTGCTGATTATAAAACAGACTTCACAGAATATAAAATGAAACACTAACAATTTATTTGACTACTCTGTATTTCTGTGTTGACACAGTAATATTTCATTAAACAGAACTATTATCTACCGCTGCCCTTTCCTTGACCCTCAAGTTTATCTTAATTTGTTTTAGATTTCGAAATGAGAGGAATGCAAATAAAAAATGTTGAAACATGGGGTTGAGTGTAGCGCATTCCTGTTTGCTTTCAATCCCTCCTCTATAGAGCTTTCCTTGTCCAGCTCAGGCTGGAAATTTGTCACTTCTCTGAGCCCCAAGGCACCTGATGTCTTTGTGTGTTATTCACTCAGTGATTTGGTATTGTCTTATAATGTTTTAATAATAAGCACATTAGTTCATACAATTGTTTTCATGTGAATTTTCCTGGGCCTTAACAATAGTCCCAGGGAGTTTGGAGAAGGCAGGTATTATTATCCACACTTTGAGGTAGGGGAATGGAAGTTCACATGTTTGCTTAAGGCCAACTGGCTTTTTAAATGGTGGTAGCAGATATACAATCTAGAATTATTTTCCATTGTATTATTAAACATTGTAATATTATTTAATTCAAAAATTTATGTTGAACTTTTAAATATCCAATGGGAATTTTAAAAATCTACCATATTTTTAATTAATTACTTACTAATTTTTATTGTTTTAACTAATTACCACAAAAGATCTTAAACTAGACTTTTGGACTGCCATTTCTATGTGATAGATGCAAAGGCTGAAGCTTAGAGAGATTCCATAATTAGCCCCAAAGTTATAGTGCCAAGGTTACAGAATCATTACTGAAATGTAGGTGTTCTGAAATTTTATCCTATACCCCATGATGCTTTTTAATAGAGAATGAACAAACTTATTAGTAAATCCCTCCTTATACTTTACAGAATATATACTCATAGTAAATATTATATAAACTATGAGTCATTTTAATTTAACGTGAAAAGTTTTTAATCACTCTCTATCTACACCTGTAAATACAATGATATGTAAATAGATAGACAAACAGATCTTTGCTATTTCACAAAGATTCCTTTATTATTTCATCAAAAAAAAATTGAAGGCTTAAGTCTATAAGAGAAAGAAACAGCCAGAAAAAGAGCATGTGGCATACTTAAACTTACTAAAATGAATTAAATTGAATTTATCTGAATCACTGAGCTCGAAGTATGGTTTACCAAATTATACAATGCTGCAAAAATAAGACTGATTTTCAGACAGAAAGTAAAGACATAAATTTTATTCAATATGTATCAAAATACAGAAAATAAAATCATCAGGGGTCAGTTGATAACAATTCATTTTCACTAAAAATTGACACCAGGTATTAAGATAATAGTCTGGGTAGATGTTTTGGCTGGCTTTGGTATGTGTACTGAAAAATTAACCCTCAATAATTTCACAAATATCTGTGGAGTGCTTACTGTGTATTACGTATTATATCATGCTATCCTCACAACAGCTCAATAAGATAGATATTAACTCTATTAGTGAATGATAAACTGATACTGAGTTTCTAGATCTAGGCTGTCTAATAGGTCTAATGTGGCGGCCACTAGCTAAATGTGGCTATATATTTAAATTTGAATTAACTTAATTAGATACAATTTAAAATTCAATTATTCACTCACACTAGTCATGTTTCAAGTGTGCAATTGCCACATATGTCTAGTGGCTGTCCTATTAGGCATACAGATGTAATACATACCATCATCACAGAAATGTTAATCACACAGCACTGATCTAGATCTCGTAGTTCTTCAAGAGCTTAAGAAAGCTAATCTCCACTAATTTACTAGCCTGCATGCTCACATTATATAACCCCATTAAACATTTCTTTAGCAAAATGTTTCTTCAGCACATTCTGGTGTGGAGAAAAAAGCATCACCTCAGGGATATGAGAGTTCATATCTTTTGTGAATTATAGTTCTATAATAGATATGGGTGCCTCCAGCATCATAGAATGAAGCCCTAGTTACTGATATATAAGCCAGTAACTCCCTTTGCATTAATGTCATACTCATTAAGAAACTATATTTCCAACAGGGAAAGAATTCTTCTCAGTTAACATTCTGAGCTGCATAAGAGTTGCATACATTATAATGTAATGTAGGTTAAAAAAGTTCTTGCTAGGCCAAGAAGACTATGGTACATATAGGCACAAAACAATTGGATACAAAAAAATCTGTTATAACCTCTAATTCTGTCATAGAGAGAACCCAAAGTATTATAGACAGCTTTAGACCTGCTTTCTTTCTCGTCAAATAGTAAAGCATATAGACAGCTTCTTGTTCAGTTGGAAAGAAACAGTATTTACACAACTGTAAAGAAACTTGAAGCTAACCACCCATTCTTTCTTCTAAAATATGCATAGATAAGTAAGATCTCCAGCATATGAGGAATGCCAGCCACTTGAAAGAGAAAGGTCAAGAAAAACTAAATTGGGAAAGAAGTAAAAAATTAAAGAATTCTTTAATGCAATCTGTTATATTTAAGAAGATATAATATCTATAAAACAAGAAAGTAAGTTATAAAAAGGAAACTGTTACAGGAAAGGGGTCCTGATCCAGACCCCAAGAGAGGGTTCCTGGATCTCACGCAAGAAAGAATTTAGGGTGAGTCCGCAGTGCAAAATGAAAGCCCCGAGGGCTGCTGGTTGCCCATTTTTATGGTTATTTCTTGATGACATGCTAAACAATAGGTCTGATTATTCATGCCTCCCCTTTTTAGAACATATAGGTAACTTCCTGACGTTGCCATAGCATTTGTAAACTTCAGGGCGTTGGTGGGAGTGTAGCAGTGAGGACAACCAGAGGTCACTCTCATCGCCATTTTGGTTCTGGTGGGTTTTGGCCGTCTCCTTCTCTACAACCTGTTTTATCAGCAAGGTCTTTATGACCTGTATTTTGTGCTGACATGCTATCTCATCCTGTGACTTAGAATGCCTTAACCCTCTGGGAAAACAGCCCAGTAGGCTTCAGACTCATTTTACCCAGCTTCTGTTTAAGATGGAGTTGCTCTCGTTCACATGCCTCTGACAGAACCACTGAACAAGTAGTTTTAAAAGATTAAATATTTTAATATATCTATTGTATATTTTACATGTTTGGTATTCTTTTGTATAACAAATGGAAACTTTTTAAAAAAAGAAGAAATAACTCACAACATAGTGTAATTATATGGAAATTATAGGAGGAAAAAAAAGAAATAAAGAGTACTTGATGGTTCCACATGTCCAACAAGAGCCTCCGAAAAGTTGGCAGGAAAAAAAATGAATGAAATAAATTCTTAAAAAGAAATACTCGGCCGGGCGCGGTAGCTCATGCCTGTAATCCCAGCACTTTGGGAGGCAGAGGCGGGCAGATCATGAGGTCAGGAGGTAGAGACCATCTTGGCTAACAAGGCGAAACCCCGTCTCTACTAAAAATACAAAAAATTAGCTGGGCACGGTGGTGGGCGCCTGCAGTCCCAGCTAATCGGGAGGCTGAGGCAGGAGAACGGTGTGAACCAGGGAGACGGAGCTTGCAGTGAGCCGAGATAGCGCCGCTAAGGTCTGGCCTGGGTTAAAGGGCGAGACTCCGTCTCAAAAAAAAAAAAAAAAAAAAAAAAAAAAAATAACAAATTCTTCAGAAGTAAAGATAGAGATAAGTCTTCAGTTTGAAAGACTCCTCCAAGTGCTGCTAAGAGTGAATTAAAAGAAAGAATCATACTTAAACAGACTCCTTTAAAATTTCAAAGTTTCAAAAATAATGTATTGGATTTCATTTAAAAAATGCTTACAAAAGACATCATTAAGAAAATAAACAGAAAAATCAGACTGGAGAATACTTGAAATGCATGTATAGGTCTAAGGAATTATATTCAAAAATTATAAATAACTCCTGCAAATCAAAAATAAAACAATCCAATGAGAAAATGAGCAAATTACTTGAAAGAGTAATCATTCCTCAAAAGAATCAGAAGAAAAAGTAGCATACGGTATGGTGGCTTTCTCTTTTAAGAAAGTCTCCTTCATTAATATACAATGCCCAATCCATTAGCTTTTTTTGTTTGTTTTTCACCTTCTTTTACCACTGACTGCACAAAATATAAAGATGTGGTTTATATTATACTAAGAAAACTTGCCTGTGAGAACCACATGACAGGTTTGGTGCTTGTGGTGTTGGTGGTAGTTCTTTCATTTTTGTCTTTTCATATTATCATTACTTTGTTTTTAATATCTTTATTATGATACAACTGATATACAAAGAACTGCACAGGCCGGGCATGGTGGTTCACGCCCGTAATCCCAGAACTGGGAGATCAAGGCGGGTGGATCACCTGAGAGTCAGGAGTTTGAGACCAGACTGACCAAAATGGTGAAACCTTGTCTCTACTAAAATACAAAAATTAGCTGGGCATGGTGGTGGGCACCTGTAATCCCAGCTACTTGGGAGGCTGAGGCAGGAGAATCGCTTGAACCAGGGAGACAGAGGTTGCAGTGAGCAGAGATCGCACCATTGCAGTCCAGCCTGGTTGACAGAGCGAGACGGTATCAAAAAAACAAACGAAAAAGCAAAAAACTGCACATATTTAATATGTACAATTTCATGAACTTGGATATATGCAAACAATTATGAAGTGATAATCAAAGTCAAGATAATGGTTATATCCAAAACTATACAAGATTTTCTGTGTTCATTTGTTTTTATTTTTCCTTTTGTTTTTTGATGATCTTGGCTGTGGTACTGGTAGTAAGAACATTTAAAGTGAGATCCACACTCTTAGTAAGTTTTGAAGTGCACAATATACAATACTGCATTAACTGTAGGCATTTTGTTGTGCAACAGATCTCTAGAACTTTTTCATCGAGCATTATCAAAACTTGACACCCTCTGAAGAACTGCCGTTTTCCCTAAGCTCCAGGCAGCCATTCATGTAAGTGGAATCATGCCATGTTTATCCTTCTTTGACTAGTTTATTTTATTTAGCATAATATCCTCTGGGTAAATCCATGTTGTCACAAATGGTAGGACTTAATTTTTTAAGGGTGAATAATATTCCATTGCATGCATATAGCACATTTTCTTCATCAAATCAAGTGCAATGGACACTTAAATTTTTTCTATATCTTAGCTATTGTAAATAATAATGCAATGTGTATGGAGCTCTCTTTGAAATTCTGAATTCAATTCTTTTGGATATATGACCAGAAGTGGAATTGCTAGATCATATAGCAGTTAATCTTTTGAGGAACCTTTTTTTCTGTGTTCCGTAGCTATCGCACCATTTTATGTTCCCATAATGTACAAGAGTTCCAATTTCTCCACATCCTCACCGATACTTATTTCGCATGTTTTTATTAATAGCCATCTTAAAACAAGTATAAGATGATACCTCATTGTGGTTTTGGTTTGTGTTTCCCTAATGATTAGTAGTGTGAAACACCTCTTCATGCACTTATTGGTTATTTGTATGTGTCCTTTGAAGAAATGCCTGTTCAAGCCCTTGGCTCATTCATTTTTAAATTTCTTTCTCTCTTTCTTTTCTTCTTTCTTCATTTTCTCTTTCCTTCTTTCTTTTCTTTCTTTCTTTCTTTTGCTGTTAAGTTGTAAGAGTTTCTTATATATTTTGGAAATTATCTTCTTGTCAGATACATAGTTGGCAAAATATCTTTTCCCATTGTATAGGTTGTCTTTTCACTCTGTTGATTGTCTTATTTGCTGTGCAGAAGCTTTTAAGTTTGATGTAGTCCCACTCCAGGTTGGGTGGGGAAATTGAGCAGTACACAGACCAAGCAGAGCTCTCAGGGAGGCTGAAAAGAAAATGCAAAAGTATTTGTGTGATAATAATTTTTACCCAGTCTTATAAATTAAATAAAAACATTTTCCCCAAATGGTGCAATTTACATTAGCAAAGATTACTTGCTTAAGGAACAATTTAAAAGTAGCAGAGGGTTGTTTACTCAGTTAGATTCTTATCAGAAGATAGATTGAGAGATAGTACTAGGAACTGGAAGTGTTTTGCAATGGAGTTGAATTTAAACTAGAACCCCCCACCCCGTCAAAAAAAAAAATGAAAGCACAGGAATTTTACTACCATTAAGAAAGTGCTGACAACAGTATAGTGAATGCCATATGATGTAATTAAACACTTGACTAAATAATCCCTGTAAATATAGAACTTCTTACCTTCTACCAAATTTATTGTTACTTATTTTTATTCACTGAAGATTTTAACTTCTGGAAATTTTTCCAGAATTCTCACAAGACATAAGGTAAATACAGGTATCAGAAAAATTGAATGTATATTGTAGCCAAAAGTGGGAAATATTGGTAATTATTTTAAAATATCATTTAGGATGTTATCAATTATTTTTTAAAAGCTAGTAATAAATTTCATAGAAAACGTGTAAGACATATGCATTTAAAATACATATATTTCTAAATAATTAAAAACATCTGCTCATCAAAATAACAATCAAAATTAAATCACAATGAGAGAAAAGATTTGCAATATAATTACATGACAAATTTTATTTTGATAATATATAAAGCACATCTACATATCAGTAATAAGAAGACCAAAAAGCACAATTTATAAACTGGTCCTATGACTTGAACAAACACTCACGTAAGAGTGATTTAATCAAATTATATGTGTATATGTGTGTATTAAGGTGCTAAGCAATATTAGTTAATGGAGAAATGCAAGTTAAACTTTGTTCCTTTGGGAATGTGAAATAGTACAACCACTTTGAGAAACTGAAAGTTTCTATTAAAATTAATCTTACATCTTTTCCACAAGCCAAAAATTTTAATTCTAGTATTTACAAAATAAATAAAAATGTATGTTCACAAGAAGATTCTATAAGAATATTCATGGCAGCTTTATTTATAAAAGACAGTAACTGGATGCATTCCAAATGTACATTAAGAGAAAAAATGAATAAAAGGACTGTGTTATTAATCACACATGGAAATTTGGCACATAAATAAAAAATTTTATTTGCAACAACATAAGTGATTTTCAAAATCACTATGTTGCGTAAAAGAAGCCAGACATAAACAAGCATATTTTATGTCATTACATCTTATGAATTTTCAAAACAAGCCAAACCAATCTATAGTGATGGTGACATAATAGGAAATGTATATTTGGTCTCTGCCCCCAGTTTTTGGCACAGAGTTCCTAAAACCCTTGTAATTTCCAAAGCAATAGAGGTGCTAGGAGAATCTTTGTTTCTAGTGTTTGGTCTTTGATCTTAGTTTCTGACATAGGGTTTCTAAATCCCTTGGGATTTACTGGAGGATAGAATTTTTTTTTTTTTCTAATGAGGTATCTCTTGGTGGCCTTTTGTATAGCTCTTGGATGGGGGCTGGTCACTAAAAAAAACCAAGTCATGATTAGAAGCTTGGAGCTTGTAGCCCTACTCCTCATCCTCCAAGGAGAGGAGAGGAACTAGAGATTGAGTTAACAATTATCAAGCATACATTAGAAGCTTTTATAAAAATCCCTAAAGTTTGGAGAGCTTCTGGGCTGATGAACACATCCATATGCCAGGAGAGTGGTATATCCCAGCTCCATGGAGATGCTTGAGACCCTTCCAGAGCTTGCTCTATGTACCTCTCAATCTGGCTTCTTATCTGTATCCTTTATCATTGCCTTATAATAAAGAGATAAACTTCAGTAAGTGTTTCCCTGAGTTCTTTGTGCCATTACAATAAATTCTCAAACATGAGGAGAGTATAATGGGAATCCATGAATTATAGCCAAGTCAGACAGAAGTGAGAGTAACCTGGGAACCTACTACTTGTGACTGATGTCCAGTAGGGGGCAATCTTACGGAACTGAGCTCTTAATCTGTGGCATCTGGACTAACTTTAAATAGGTAGTATCAGAATTGAGTTATGTTGTAGGGCACCCAGGGAGTGTCCAGAGAGTTGGAGAGTCGGTTGGCGTGGCGAAAAAAAATTCATACATTTGGTGTCAGAAATGAGGTATTGAGTGAGTATAGAGAGGACTGTATTTTCTCTTTGTAGTGATAGAAATCAAAATAATGGCAGAGATGTGTTGATTTAAAAAGGACAAAGGGAGCTTCCTAGTATAATGGGAATATTCTATATCTTAACCTGGGTGATAGGTGCATGGGTGCATAAATATGTAAAAATTGATCGGGCTGTAAGTTTAAAATTTGTATGTGGCCTACATGTAAATTATATTTCGATGATAAAAAGTACACCTGTAGAAAATCCGTTATTATTATTAAGACACTAGAGTTTTCCTTTATTTGACAATCAGTATTCAAAATGCAAAGATATGTTTTTATTTTAACATTGCTTTTTGAACATTATTTACAAAAGATATTTTGCTGTCATATATTTTAAGGTAAGCTTGTTCAGCCCACAGTCCATGGGCTGCATGCAGCCCAAGACAGCTTTGAATGAGGCCCAACACAAATTGATAAATTTTCATAAAACATTAGGATTTTTTTTGCTCATCCAGCTATCGTTAGTGTTAGTGTATTTTATTTGTGGTCTGAGATAATTCTTTTTCTTCCAATGTAGGAGCCAAAAGATTAGACACACCTGTTATAAACCATTCTGTAATTTTCTGCTTGAATAAATGGTATAACATTACTTGTTGCTAGAATATGTTTCAGTTACAAATTTTTTAAATACCCAAATAACAGGAGGGGACCAATTGCTATTAAAAGGAAAAGAATACATAGCTTTAAATTATGTTATCATGAAACATTGACTGAAAATAAGTAAATCACGGATACAAGTAAGGAAGCTAAAAAAATAAAGTATGGAAAGGGAGCAATAAGTAAGTAAATTTGAGAATTAATTGAATAATAAACCAACATAAGTCAAGAGCGAAATCTATGAAAAGAATTTTTAATGACAAATATGCTAAAATGTTAAGAGAAAAAACACAAAAATAATATTAAATACAAAAAAACTACAAGTGAATAAGAGGACATTAAAATGTTATAGGATATTTCTATATGTACTTTATTACACTAAATTGTAAAAGTTTTAACAAATTGATTCAATAATTAAAATGCTAATCAGGCTAAGAAGCACAGAACAAATTGAACAAATTATCTCTCACAAAATAAACATGGATAATTTTACAGAAAATGTTATGAAAATTTTAAATAGCATCGATATTATTTAAATTGCTTCATTATATTTTTAAAAATTAAATACTTACAAATAAATTATAGGAAGCTAGCATAATTATACTACCAAGATTGTACAGAAAAGTACAAATAAAAACCTTATCTATGGTTGAATGTTATTTATGAATGCACAGGCAAAGACTCCAAATAAAATATTAGCTTATCAAATACAACAATATATCAAAACATTGATATACCTTGAGTAAATAGAATTTAACTCAGCAATGAAAACGAAGTCAACATTTGAATAACTAATAATACTATGATGTATTATCTTAAAAGACTAAAAGACAAAAAACAGCTTCACAGATTATGTAAAAGATAAGGTGCAATTCACCACCAATTTCCAGTTTAATAAAAGTTTCAGTAACCTAAAAATAGAATGGCACTTTCTTAATTTGATAAAAAGCATCTATTAAAAACTAACATTATACATCAATTTTAACAGGGAGACCCTAGACAGTTCTATTAAAGGATCCTAATTTCTGGCTTCGCTAGAGGTTTATTAAAGAACATTCTATCCAATATGTAGCATTAAAAACTTGACCTGTGAATTAGATATCAGTATCTTCTTCTCTTTCTCACTTAAATCACTTTTGTATTCTGTTGACAAAATGTGTATTATGCTACACTTTACACATATCTGTGCAATATACATAGAGCAATAAAAAGGATTAAAGAGTAGAGCAAATGGGTCTTCACTTGACCCTCACAATGAAAAAAATTCTACAATGCTTATTTCAACTGTTAAGTATATTTGTCTTCCGTGACTGGTTATACATTATGGTGGATTGGAATTCCATTCACATAAACTCTAATGCTTGCTTCTATGTCTCAGCAATCAACTTCTATGCCTTACCAGTCTCTGAACACAAAGCTTATTCTATATAATTTAGGATCTGAATCACAAAACAAAAAAAGTACGTTGCTATTATCTTATATATGGAATTATTTTCTTTTCAATTTTCCACCTCAAATTAGATTCATTCATTCATGAATATTTACTAAGCTTCTGCTCTGGGTCAGGCTTTGATCTAATTACTATTGGCACAAAGATTAGTGAGCACCAAAGTAACACAGTTTAATAGTAGAATTATTCAACTAAACAAAGTTGAATAAGTGATATGTAGGAGATACGAATATAGTGCTATGAAAGTACATAGGCGATTTTAAATACATCATCTCTATACTTTACAATACCTGGTGCACAATGAGTTTAGTTATTTTAGGTTAGCAACCACCAACTACTTTTGCATAGTTATTTCACAATAAGCATTTAATCTTCTATTGTATGTTTAATGTGTCCCTTGAAATTAACTTGGAATCGTCAGAAGACCTGATCTCCTCTTCTCTCAATTTACTCCATTTCATGGTATATTGGTTATATCACTAAAATATATCTGCTCCAGTATCTTTTTATCCTCTTTAACTACCACATAGACCAAGCTACCACAAAGTACAACCTCATCTCTCCAATAGCCAGCAATCGTATCTCCTTGTTCCCACTTTTAATCTCCAGCCATGCCACAAACTCAGTGCAGCCTGAGTGGTCTGTTTAAAACACTTTTTTGCCTAAAATATTTAATGGCTACTCATCATACTCAGGAAACACCACGGTTCTTATCATGGCCTACAATAGTATTATCTGGCTGAATCTCCCTCAGGAGATTTGTCATGGATGTTTCTTCTACATGAAATTTTCTTCCCTGAACTCTCCTCATGCTTGTTTCTTCCTCATTGTTTAGGTATCAGTCCTATTACATTCTCAAATAAAATTTTCTTTCTCCTCACTTCCATCTAAAACTCTATGACTTTCTACTCCATTATCTAATTTTAGTTTTTTATTTTTATGTTTTAATTTTTAATTTTATTTTTTTGAGACAGAGTCTCGCTCTGTTGCCCAGGCTGGAGTGCAGTTGTGTGATCTCAGCTCACTGCAACCTCCGCCTCCCGGGTTCAAGTGATTCTCCTGCCTCAGCCTCCCAAGTAGCTGGGATTACAGGCACATGCCACCATGCCTGGCTAATTGTATTTTAGTAAAGATGGGGTTTCAACGCGTTAGTCAGGATGGTCTCGATCTGCTGACCTTGTGATCTGCCCACCTCGTCCTTCCAAAGTGCTGGGATTACAGGCATGATCCACCACGCCCAGCCAATTTTAGTTTTTTCATAACACTTTTCAGAAAATGAAATTACCTTAGAGTATTGCATAATTGATTTTTATCTAATCTATTATGCATATACTTAGGAAATTAATGAACATATTATTTTAGCTCAAGAGTTAGCTATCTACTATTAACTCTTTACTTGGTGTCATGAATTTAAATCCACTAGGTTAGAAAAGTAGGTTTCTCCATCTTATGCCCCAAACAGAACCCCTGATCCACTCCCCTGACTTCATTCTTCACCAATTATTAGTGCTTATTAAAAAAAGGTATCTGGCATAGAGAAAATGTGCCACTAAAAAAAATTAATTAAATTAATGAATGAACAACAACCCTCAGGATATAGGTTTCACCATTGTACAGGTGATTGCACTTTGTTAAAGAATCATATGTGACTAAGGGCAATCATTAATTTTATTTAATTTCTCTTAACGTTAACATCCTACAAACATATTAAAATAATAATGAGAGTCACTGGAAATATCAGTTGTTCATATATCCATGTTCCTTGTTGGTCCTTATTTTCATGCAAATATGAATTTATAAAATTGTAGTCATGAATCAGTTTTGCCGATAGCTTCATAATTCTAATTTAAACTGATGTACAATATTCTATTAATTAGTTGAACTAGAAGTTTGCTACTATTTATACATATTTTGGTTATCAATAATATACAATACAATGTATGATACTTATTATATACATTCTTTCATTGACTTATCACCTGTCTTATTTCCTAGTATTGAATTATAAAATTGCATAAATCAGCTAAAGATTGTAAACACTTTTATGGCTCTTAATATCTATCACAGAAGGTGTAGAAAATATATTAGTGATTATTGCATCTCTAATGTAGTACATCCTTAATGCAGCAAGCATCTCTATTGCATTCCTAATGTGATAAACACATAGTGAATATACAATTAATTTATTAAATGGTGAATATTATCTAAATGGTTTTCCACAGACACATGCTAATTAATATTGCATATTAATATCAATTGATGTTTTAGACTTTTAATTGCAAAAGGTATCTGTTTTACTGATTTGCTATATTTGGTCAAATATTTTTCAATATTGAATATTTTCTGGAATTCGGCCTTTCCACATATGCATTTGAGGTGCTTCCCCAAAGTCTGCATCTCCATGGGTATCATGGTTTGCAGTGGCTTTTCCAAATTTTTCCAGTCTACGTGCAGTGCCCGGGACTGAACAATTCCAGCAAAGGCACCCACACAGGACATTGCAAGGCCAGACTTGGTCCCACATAAATCCTGGTTGCCAAGATTTGCCAATCAAAACTTTCTGGCTGTACACAGTGGTCATGCATGTAATCCCAGCACTTTGGGGAACTAAGGCCATGAGAGGTGACAGCGTGCTGGCAGTCCTCACAGCCCTCGCTTGCTCTGGGTGCCTCCTCTGCCTGGGCTCCCACTTTGGCGGCACTTGAGGAGCCCTTCAGCCCACCGCTGCACTGTGGGAGCCCCTTTCTGGGCTGGCCAAGGCCGGAGCCCGCTCCCTCAGCTTGCAGGGAGGTGTGGAGGGAGAGGCGCGAGCGGGAACCGGGGCTGTGCGCCGAGCTTGCGGGCCAGTTGGAGTTCCCGGTGGGCGTGGGCTTGGCGGGCCCCGCACTCGGGGCAGCCGGCTAGCCCTGCCGGCCCCAGGCAATGAGGGGCTTAGCACCCAGGCCAGCAGCTGCGGAGGGTGTACTGGGTCCCCCAGCAGTGCCCGCCCACCGGCGCTGCCCTTGATTTCTCGCTGGGCCTTAACTGCCTTCCCGTGGGGCAGGGCTGGGGACCTGCAGCCCGCCATGCCTGAGCTGCCCACCCTCTCCGTGGGCTCCTGTGCAGCCTGAGCCTCCCAGATGAGCGCCGCCCCCTGCTCCAGGGCGCCCAGTCCCATAACCACCCAAGGGCTGAGGAGTGCGGGCGCACAGCGCGGGACTGGCAGGCAGCTCCACCTGCAGCCCTGGTGTGGGATCCACTGGGTGAAGCCAGCTGGGCTCCTGAGTCTGGTGGGGACGTGGAGAACCTTTATGTCTAGCTGGGGGATTGTGAATACACCAATCG
The DNA here is from genome assembly GCF_000001405.40 of Homo sapiens. Lineage (NCBI taxonomy): Eukaryota > Metazoa > Chordata > Mammalia > Primates > Hominidae > Homo > Homo sapiens. The sequence continues at coordinate 166,843,338 of NC_000003.12, forward strand.
GCACTCTGTATCTAGCTACTCTGGTGGGGACTTGGAGAATCTTTATGTCTAGCTCAGGGATTGTAAATACACCAATGGGCACTCTGTATCTAGCTCAGGGTTTGTAAACACACCAATCAGCACCCTGTGTCTAGCTCAGGGTTTGTGAATGCACCAATCAACACTCTGTATCTAGCTACTCTGGTGGGGACTTGGAGAACCTTTGTGTCTAGCTCAGGGATTGTAAATGCACCAATCAGTGCCCTGTCAAAACAGACCACTGGGCTCTACCAATCAGCAGGATGTGGGTGGGGCCAGATAAGAGAATAAAAGCAGGCTGGCTGAGCCAGCAGTGGCAACCCTCTCAGGTCCCCTTCCACACTGTGGGAGCTTTGTTCTTTCGCTCTTTGCAATAAATCTTGCTACTGCTCACTCTTTGGGTCCACACTGCCTTTATGAGCTGTAACACTCACCACGAAGGTCTGCAGCTTCACTCCTGAAGCCAGCGAGACCACAAGCCCACCGGGAGGAAGGAACAACTCCAGACGCACTGCCTTAAGAGCTGTAACACTCACCGCGAAGGTCTGCAGCTTCACTCCTGAGCCAGCAAGATCACGAACCCACCAGAAGGAAGAAACTCTGAACACATCTGAACATCAGAAGGAACAAACTCCGGACACGCCGCCTTTAAGAACTGTAACACTGCGGGGGTCCGTGGCTTCATTCTTGAAGTCAGTAAGACCAAGAACCCACCAATTCTGGACAAAGCGGGATGATCACTTGAGATGTGGAGTTTGAGACCAGCCTGGGCAATATAGTGAGACCCCCACCTCTACCAAAAAATGTTTTAAAATTAGCCTGGCACAGTGGTGCATGCCTGTAGTCCCAGCTACTCAGGAAGCTGAGGTGAGATGATCACTTGAGTCTAGGAGTTCCAAACTGTAGTGAGCTGTAATCACACCATTGCACTCAGCCTGAGCAACAGAGCAAGAGCTGGTCTCTTAAACAAACAAATTCTAAATCCATTTTAACTGTCAAGGACTGTGCAGTGACCCCTGGACAGGTGACTATGCACAAGAACTGGGATTTGCATAGGCCCTGTCCCAATTTTTCTCCTTTAGGCCACTCCTTAACCACACATTAAGTTGACCAGATTCCCTAAGGATTTCCAGTAATTCTGACTACTGTGTTTTACAAGAGCCCCATGGACTGACCCTAGTTCCAGAATGGTGGTTTGGTAAGCAGATAACTCTTGCCAAGCAGCTTTGTTTCACAAGACTGTGTGAGACTGAGCCACCTGAATGATTCAGACAATCTGATTTGAGGGGGTTTTCACTTACACTATTCATAAAATGAGTTTAGGGCTCTGGACTACTAATGGCTCACCACCCTAACTTGCACTTGAGATAGGTGTCTGGGCCCATGTATGTACTCTTGCTCATCCATGTAGGATCCATGATGTCACCTCCAATCTACAACACCTAAGAAGAGTGGGGGTAGTAGCAAGCAAGCATCTTTAACCTTGTATATCCTTGCCATTGCACTCAGAGATGTTATCCTACCATTTCTGTTGTCTTCACTGGATGAGGCAGTCCTTCTGGGGTGGCCACAGAATACTTCCTCTGAAGACTTGGAGACAGCCTGCAAGCAAAACAGGACCTTTTGCTTGATGTCCTCTCTTACCTCCACTTACACAGTGACATTAGGCTTTCCTGGATTTGTCAACGGTCATGTTGGGAGAAAGACAGACACATTCTGCTCAAGTGGGGCCGCTATTAACACCCTTTTCTGGACACTTTACTATTCTCCTACTGGTATTACTTTGTGGAAGGCAGAAGTATGGTCAACATGGAAAGAGGTCATGTTCTAGGATTGCATGTTTTGACCTCAAGAGATCAAAGAAGATAGAGTTTATGCTATAAAGTCCCACATAGTAAATTAAATATGACCAGAAAATGAATTATTTTTCACATTATATTGCATATGCTGGGTAAATTTGCTTTTGTTGTCATTACCATAAAGTATAGTAAAAACAGTTAAGAGAGTATTTGGAGTTCAGTATTCACAGGTGGCACAAAGAATAAGTTAGTGTCAAGAATAATGATGCATTAAGTAAATATTATTTTATTTTAAGTTCCAGGATACATGTGCAGGATGTGCAGGTTTGTTACACAGGTAAACAGGTGCCATGGTGGTTTGCTGCACCTATCAACCCATCACCTAGGATTTAAGCCCAGCATACATTAGCTATTTTTCCTAATGCTCTCCCTCCTCCTACCCCCACTAACAGACCAGTGTGTGTTGTTCTGTGTCCATGTTCTCTCATTGTTCAGCTCCCACTTATGAGTGACAGCATGAGGTGTTTGGTTTACTGTTCCTACATTAGTTTATTAGTTTGCTGAGGATAATGGCTTCCAGCTCCATCCATGTCCCTGCAAAGGACATAATATCATTGTTTTTTTGTTTGAGATGGAGTTTTAGCTTTTGTTGCCCAGGCTGGAGTGCAATGGTGCAATCTTGGCTCACTGCAATCTTCACCTCCCAGGTTCAAGCAATTCTCCTTACTCAGCCTCCTGAGCAGCTGGGATTACAAGTGCCTGCCACCATGCCCAGCCAATTTTTGTATTTTTTTTAGTAGAGACAGGGATTCACCATATTGACCAGGTTGGTCTCGAACTCCTGACTTCAAGTGATCCACCTGCCTCAGCCTCCCAAAGTGCTGGGATGACAGGCATAAGCCACCACACCCGGCCAATCTCATCCTTTTCATGGCTGCATAGTATCCTACAGCATACATGTACCACATTTTCCTTATCCAGTATATCATTGATGGGCATTTGCGTTGATTTCATGGCTTTGCTATTGTGAATAGTGCTGCAGTGAACATACAAGTGCATGTATCTTGATAATGGAATGATTTATATTCCTTTGGGTATATACCCAGTAATGGGATTGCTGGGTCAAATGGTATTTCTGGTTCTAGGTCTTTGAGGAATCAACACACTGTCTTCCATAATGGTTAAACTAATTTACATTACCACCCATAGTGTAAAAATGTTCCTATTTCCCCACAGCCTCACTAGCATTTGTTGTTTCTTGACTATTTAATAATCACCATTCTAACTGGCATGAGATGGTACCTCATTGTGGTTTTCATTTGCATTTCTATAATGATCAGTGATGTTGAGCTTTTTTTTTCATTTGTTTCTTGGCCACTTAAATGTCTTCTTTTGGGAAGTGTCTGCTCATGTCTTTTGCCCAATTTTTAAGGTTGTTTGTTTGTTTTTTTCTTGTAAATTTGTTTAAGTTCCTTGTAGATTCTGGATATTAGAACCTTGTCAGATGGATAGATTGCTAAAATTTTCTCCCACTCTGTAGGTTGTCTGTTCACTCTGATGATAGTTTCTTTTGCTGTGCAGAAGCTCTTTACTTTAAATTAATTCCATTTGTCAATTTTTGCTTTTGTTGCAATTCCTTTTGGTGTTTTGGTCATGATATCTTTGCCCAAGACTATGATATTGCCTAGATTTTCTTCTGGGTTTTTTTCACAGTTTTGGGTTTTACATTTAAGTCTTTAATTCATCTTGAGTCAATTTTCATATAAGGTGTAAGCAAAAGGTCCAACTTCAATTTTTGCATATGGCTAGCCAATTCTGCCAGCATCACTTTGATCTTTTTCATTTCTTGTCTTCTGCTAGCTTTGTTGTTTCTTTGCTCTTGGTTCTCGAGTTCTTTTAGTTGTGATGTTAGGATGTTAATTTGAGATCTTTCTAGCTTTTTGATGAGGACATTTAGTGCTGTAAATTTCCCTCTTAACACTGCTTTAGCTGCATCCCAGAGATTCTGATACAATCATCTGTCTCATTGGTTTCAAAGAACATCTTGATTTCTGGCCTAACTTCATATCTACCTGGGAGTCATTCAGGAGCAAGTTGTTAAATTTCAATGTAGTTGTGTAGTTTTGAGTGAGTTTCTTAGTCTTGAGCCCTAATTTGATGGTGATGTTATCTGAGAGACTGCTTATTATTTCAGTTTTTTTTTTAATTTGCTGAAGAGTTTTACTTTCAATTATGTGACGAATTTAGATTAAGTGCTATGTGGCACTGAGAAGAATGTATATTCAGTTGTTTTGGGGTGGAGAGTTCTGCAGATATGTATTAGGTCCACCTTATCCAGAGCTGAGTTCAAGTCCTGAATATCTTTGTTAATTTTCGGTCTCAATGTCTAATATTGACAGTGAGGTGTTAAAGTCTCCCACTGTTACTGTGTGGGAGTCTAAGTCTCTTTGTAGGTCTCCAAGAACTTGTTTTAGGAATCTGAATGATTCTGCATTAGGTGCATATATATTTAGGATAGTTAGCTCTTCTTGTTGAATTGAACCCTTTACCATTATGTAATGCCCTTCTTTGTCTTTTTTGATATTTGTTGGTTAAAGTCTGTGTTGTCAGAATCTAGAATTGCAACCCCTGCTTTTTTCTGCTTTCCATTTATTTGGTAAATTTTCCTCCATCCCTTTAATTTGAACCTGTGTGTGTCTTTGCATGTGAGATGGGTCTATTGAATCCAGCACACTGATGGGTCGTGACTCTTTATCCAGCTTGCTATTTGCTGTCTTTTTATTGGGGGCACTTAACCCATTTACATTTAAGGTTAATATTGCTATGTGTGAATTTGATCCTGTCATCATGAAGCTAACTGGTTATTTTGCAGACTTATTAATGTAGTATTTCATAGTGTCATTGGTTTGTATACTTCAGTGTGTTTTTGTAGTGGCTGGTAACAGTTTTTCCTTTTCATATTTGGTGTTTCCTTCAGGAGCTCTTGCAAGGTAGGCCTGGTGGTGATAAATTCCCTCAGCATTTGCTTGTCTGAAAAATATTTTATTTCTCTTCACTTATAAAGCTTAGTTTGACCAAATAGGAAATTCTGGCTTGGAAATTCTTTTCTTTAAGAATGTTGAATATTGGTTCTTAATCTCTTCTGGCTTGTATGGTTTCTGTTGAGAGGTCCACTGTTATTCTGATGTGCTTCCCTTTGTAGGTGACCTGGCCTTTCCCTCTGGCTGCCTTAACATTTTTTCCTTCATTTCGACCTTGGAGAATCTGATTATTATGTGGTTTGCAGTTGGTCTTCTCATGGAGTATCTTACTGAGGTTCTCTGGATTTCCTGAGTTTGAATGTTGGCCTGTCTTGCTAGGTTGGGGAAGTTCTCCTAAGTGATATCCTGAAGTATTATTTCCAACTTGGTTTCATTCTTCCCATCTCTTTTAGGTACCCCAATCAATCATAGGTTCAGTCTCTTCAGTCTTTTTACATAATCCCATAGTTCTCAAAAGGTTTTCTTCATTGCTTTTCATTCTTTTTTTCCTCTAATCTTGTCTGCCTGTCTTATTTCAGCAAGATCATCTTCAGTCTCTGAAATTATTTTCTCCGCTTGGTCTATTCAGCTATTGATACTGTGGTTGCCTTCTTAAGTTCTCCTGTTGTGTTCTTCAGTTCCATCAGGTCATTTATATTCCCCTCTAAATTGCTTATTCTGGTTAACAGCTCCCTATAATGTTGTCTTATGGTTTTTAGCTTCTTTGCATTGGGTTAGAAAATGCTCCTTTACCTCAACAAAGTTCATTATTACCCACCTTCTGTAGGCTACTTCTTTCAGTTTCTCCATCTCAACCTCAGCCCAGTTCTGTGTTCTTGCTGGAAGGGTGTTATGATAATTTGGATGAGAAGAGGCACTTGGCCTTTTTGAGTTTTCAGTGTTTTTTCATTAATTCTCATCTTCCTGAGTTTATCTAGCTTTAATCTTTGAGGCTGCTGATATGTGGATGGGGTTTTTGTGGGGACTATTTTCTTGATGCTGTTGTTGTTGTTGCTTTCTATTTGTTTTTTGCTTAACAGTCAGGCCCCTCTTCCATTAGGGCTGCTGCAGTTTCCTGGAGGTTCACTCCAGACCCTATTCATCTGGGTCTATCCTGCCCCTGGAGGTGTCACCAGTGGAGGCTGCAGAACAGCAAAGATGGCTGCCTGCTCCTTCCTCTAGGATCTCTGTCTCAGAGGGGCACCAACCTAATACCAGCAGGAACACTCCTGTGTAAGTTGTCTGATGACCACTGCTTGGTGGTCTCTCCCAGTCAGTAGGCATGGGATCAGAAACCCACTTAACAAAGCTCTCTGGCTGCCCCTTGGTGGAAGGGGTGTGCTGCGCTGGAGGGAATCACACTTCTCTGCCTAGATTCCTCAGATAAAGCAGGGGAAAAGTCTAAGCCCACTGATCCACAGGGACTGTGGCCACCCTACCCCTCAGGGGCTACGTTCCAGGGAGATCAGTGTTCTGTCCATAAACCCCTGACTGAAATTGCTGAAATTCCCACAGGGAGGCCTTGCCTGGTGGGGAGGAATAGATCTGGGTCTGGCATAAAGAGGTGGTCTGGATCTGGCGTAAAGAGGCAGTCTGGCCACGATCTGCCACAGCTGCTGTGGTGCACTGTGGGGAATTTCTCCTGGGTCCAAACTGTCCAGTCTCCCTGGCACTGGCAGGGGAAAACAGCTGGCTGAAGCTGCACTGATGGCAGCCACCCCTTTGCCCCAGGAACTTGGTAGTCTTGGGCAGCCTCCAGCTGAGCAGCCACTGAGAATCTACACAGCTCTGTGCTTGGGACCCAAGGCCCTGCTGATAGGGCTCACAAAGGGATCTTCTTATCCATGGGTTGCACAGATCTGTGGAACATACATGGTTTCCTGGGTAGGGTAGCACAAGCACTCACTGCCTCCCTTGGCTGGGGGTGAGAGCTCCCCTTGCTCCCTGTGGCTCCCAGGTGGGCCATTTTGCCACCCAGCTTTTCCTCACTCTCCATGGTTCGGGCCAGCTGCCTAGTCAGTCCCAAGGAGAGGACCTGGATACCTTAGTTGCTGGGGGAGGATTCACTCACCGTTTCTTTCTTCTCAGTGGGAACCTCTGCTTAAATAAATATTATTTAATGAGAATTGCAGAGGCAAAAAGTTCTATATTATTCATGTACAGTTTCCAAAGAACCATGGCATTGTGAGTAATAACAGCATTGCTAACCTATTTTTTAAATTGGAAGGTATGAGATTCACCAGGAATGACACATACAATCATTCCTGCATAAAGAATAGGTCCTAGACCTGAAGAGAGAGAGAGGTGCCTGACTGAATAATATACAGGTGTGCAGGTGATTTTGCCTGAGGTTTGCAAACCCTAAGAAATCATATTCCTATTCCTTCTAATGCTTTCAAATTTTCTATTTCATTGTTAATATTCTTTGTCTTTGCAAATGACATTCTTCGTCATTGTGAGGAAAATTATAGGTAACACCATGAATCCAAGGTAAAATCAAATACGATATTTAATGGAATTGGGTTCAATATAATTATACTTATATTGATTACATACTAAAAGACTACACGTAGTGCGAATGAAGAATTTATTTTAGTATTTTTTATACTAGTGAATAATAGAAAGCCATCTAAATAGCTAAATACACAGATGAAAAGGAAGTCATTGTAGAAGCAATTCTGAACTATCAGAATAGCAACAAGATAAATGCTTGTGTTACAGTTTTTAAAAGCAATATCACTATAAAATATATTTATTAAAGAATATATACAATGTTTAAATCTATTACTTTAATCATCATAAAATTGGTGCTTATTACTCAATTTAAGATATATATTTTTATAAACATTAAAGCCTTTTTATGCCCATATCATATCTCATATCCTCTCCTAAGAAATACATGCTATTTTAAATCTAACATTAATATTTCTTTGACTTTTTATACTTTTAATATAATATCTTTGTATTTATAAACAAAACCTATGTATTTTGATCATTTGCTCTTTAGTAATGCGTAGTTTATTTTTGCCTCATTTTGACATTTCTATATAGTGCTCCTTTATGATTATTTTCCTCAATCATATATTTTGTTTAGTTGTTGATCCATGTTGATATTTGTAGACTTCGCTTATTTTAGTGCTGTTAGTATTATTTAGTACTAATATACTAAAACAAATTTATTTTTTTGTCCCCAGCTTTTGCTATTAGAAATAATGCTGCTATAAACATGAACATGTCTCAGTTCATTTAAATTCCAGTTTTTCCTTGGTTATGTATCCAGGAGTGAATTGCTAAATTTTAGGACATGCAACTCTTTAATTTTACATGATGATGCCAAATTGTTCTCAAACTACTGTGTCAAATTGCAAACGCACCAGCAATAACTGATAGTTCCTACTCTTTCACATCTCTTCTGCTCTTGCTTTGTCAGAATTTCTAATTTTTGCTCATTTCGATATTTACCTAATCCATGTGACTGCAAATCAGATGAATAATTACCGTAAGCATAATAACTTTTCTAGTGAATTTAATATAGCTGGATTTTCTCCTTTTTCACAAATGGTTGCTTCAAAACATCTTACTCTGTTGTCCTCTCACTTTATATAACACTCAAGCTTAAGATAGTTAGACACACATTTTTGTCGGTCATTTGTGTGTGAAATGACATCTCATTGGGGCTTGAACTAACATTTCCATGTTTGCTAATGAGATTTGTCAGTCGCCTGCTTTTTGTTGAGTAGTTTTTCTTTTTTCTTCTTTAATTTATAGATATCTGTTGGAGGCTTATTAGTGATGTAAATATAGGTTTCCAATTTTTAACTTCTCTCCACTTACCTTATAAATCTTTGCATGAAAATAATCTTGTCATCATGAAAACTATTTATTTTAATTTAAGGTTTCAGCTTGTTTTATTTTGAGGACATTAAATATTCTCTTTAGACTTTCATATTCAGGTCTTCAATGCAAAGGGAAGAATTTGTATTAATGGTGAGAAAAAGTTAATCAATTTTATTTTTATACGAATATATAATGTTGTCAACATTTATTATCCTTTCTAAACTGATATGAAAAACTATCAAGTAGTAATATAAATGTGTTTGTTTCTTGGCCGAATATTTGCTATTGGTTTTTCTATTCTTGAACTAATACCACATTGCTTTATTATTATCATACATTTATAAAAAGATTTGATAACTAGTAAAGTGTTTTTTTAGAATCAGCTTACTATTTTCCACACAATCTTAAGAAGTTGCTTTAGCTTGCCTTATAGAGATGATCTGAGAATTTACATTTATACACATTATATGTTTATGTCTTTTTAATGCCATTCAAATTGTTTATTATTTTCTCCATGATTATTTTTCCCATTTTTTGCTAGATTTATTTCCATATATTTTATTTTTTAAAACATATTCTTGTGATACGATAGAAGCAGTTACAATATGCAACCACCACCCATGTCAGGAAAGAAAGCGCTGAGAACCACCCTAGAATTTCCTCCATGTGTTCTACCCTAATCTTACCTCTCTTAATTTTTTCAGTCAGCACTATCCTTTTATAATAATTTACTTCCTTTAATTTCTTCAAAATGTTTTTGCCTAATATATTTCCCTAGATACCATAATTAAGTCTTGCCCACTGAAAATCAGTGCCTTTTAAGTCTGCTTTACTCTTTAGGTTCTCCTTCCTTCCCCTTTATCTTTCTTAGAATGTATTTATTGAAAACCAGAGGAAATTTAATCTGTAGATCTTTTCAGTGTGGATTTTGCTGAATGATTAGCATATGATGGGGTTTGACATAATCTTCTGTCATTTGTTTTTCTTAAAATTGGCGGCAGGATCCAGGGGCTTTACTAGATTCATGATCAGTTCCTTTGGAGACACTACAGCTTTTCCTTAACTAGAGGTTTATAATGTCTGCTTGTCTTTCTTTTTGTGATATTAAATCTGTTGATACTCCATAACTATGTTGGCTAATTTGGAAGATAAAAGGCAATACTATGCTAACTCTGTATATTTTTATTTAACAAGAATTTTTCATAAGAAACTACTTTCCTTTAATATTGTTTACTTAGGTAGGAAGGATAAAAAACATATCTGAACCTTTCTGTTTTTTATTAGCTGTCAAAAATTGAGTTAGTCTTTTGCACGTTAATTTGTTTCCATTCTCTATAGATTCTGGATTTGAGCATTTTTCAGATGCAATGTTTGTGAATATCTTCTCCCATTCTGTAGGTTATCTGTTTGCTCTGTTGATGGTTTATTTTGCTGTGCTAGAGCTCTTTAGTTTAATTACGTTCCACTTTATTTTTGTTTTTGTTGCAGTTGCTTTTGGGAACTTACTAAGTATTCTTTGCAAAGGCCAATGTTGAGAAGAGCATATCCTAGGTTGTCTTACAGGATTTTTACATTTTGAGATCTTACATTTTTAATGAATTTTGATTTAATTTTTGTATATGGTGAGAGGTAGGGGATCCAGCATCAATCTTCTACATATAGTAAGCTACTTATCCAAGCACTATTCATTGAACAGGGAGTCCTTTCCCTATTGCTTAATATTGACAGTGAGGTGTTATTTTTGTTCACCTTTTTGAGAATCAGATGGCTGTAGGTGTATGACTTTATATCTGAGTTTTCTATTCTGTTCCATTGGTCTACATATCTGCTTTTGTAACAGTACTATGCTGTTTTTGTTACTGTGGCTTTATAGTATAGTTTGAAGACAGGTACTGTGAGGCCTCCAGTTTTGGTCTTTTTGCTTAGGATTGCCTTTGCTATTTGGGCTTTTTGTTTGTTTGTTTCATATGAATTGCTGAATAGTTTTTTCTAATTCTGTGAAAAATGTCATTAGTAGTTTTATAGGAATAGCAATCAATCTGTAGATTGCTTTGGGCAGTATGGCCATTTTGATGATATTGATTCTTCCAATTCATGAGCATGGAATGTTTTTCCATTCATTTGTGTGACTGCTGATTTCTTATAACCCAATTAAAAAATACACAAAGGACATAAACAGATACTTCTTAAAAGAAGACATACAAATAGCCAACAAACATATGAAAAAATGACCAGCATCCATAGTCACCAGAGAAATGCAAATCAAAACCACAAGATACCATCTCACAACAGTCAGAGTGGCTATTATTAAAAAGTCATAAAAAAACAGATGTTGGCAAAGCTGCAGAGAAAAGGGAACACTTAAACACTGTTGATGGGAATGTAAATTAGTTCCGCCACTGCAGATAGCAGTTTGGAGATTTCTCGTAGAACTTAAAGCAGAGTTATGATTTGACCCAGCAATCCTGTTATTGGATATATACCCAAAAGTAAATAAGATATTCTACTAAAAAGACACATGCATTTGCATGATCATCCCTGCTCTATTCACAATAGCAAAGACGAGGAATCAACCCAGGTGCCCATCAATGATAAATTGGATTAAAAAAATGTGGTACATAAACACCAAGGAATACTTTGTAGCCATAAAAAAGAATGAAATTATGTCTTTTGCAACAACATAGATGAAGCTGGAGGCCATGATACTAAGCAATATTAACACATGAACAGGAAAACACATACCGCATGTTCTTACTTATAAGTGGGAGTTAAGCACTGAGCACACATAAAGATAAGTATGGGAACAGTAGACACTATGGACTACTGTTAGTCATAGAGAGTGGAGGGAAAGGGCAGTGGGTTAAAAAAAAAAACTATGCTCTATTAAAGAAAAACCATAGTAGGCACTATGTTCATTATCACGATAATGGGATCTGTAATCCAAACCTCAGCATCACACAATATTCCCATGTAACAAATCTGTGCATGTATATTCTGTATCTACAAGTTGAAATTTAAAAAAAAGGAATTGAGTTACTTCTTTAACATTATTGGTAGGCAAAATATTTTAATAACGTTATGAAATCATGGATATAAGTATGTTTGGTAAATTTCAGTCTATTACAATTTTTTTTTGAGGCTCATGATGTCTCATGTTTCCAACGGTCACAGCCTCTGAAAGTTGGTTCTGAGCCCTTTTGACAGGATTCTAGTGGTCTTTGATAATGTCCTTAATCTTATATTCCAACTCATCTTGTATAATTTCTGTCACAGACCTAAAATCTGCCATTTCTCCAAGAAAGACTTAATATTCTTTGGGGAGAATATTCTAAACAGAGAATCTCTTTGTCATTGGGCTAATCAATGTTTCTAGGCCTCTTCTGTGGACAGCAATTTCTTTCTGTTTCCAATGTCTCTTTCTATCTGTCTATGACTATCTATAGCTCTTTCATTTTGTGTGAAAGCTGTTGATGTTCTATGACTAGATTAGTTGAGAGATTCAAAATGTCTCTGTCACAAACACAATTCACAAGAGCAAAACACATCATGCATGCATATGTGTGTGTGTGTGTGTTAAAATAAATATTAAAGAAAAGGTGCATCAAGAGTTTCTACTGATACTTTTAACCCTAATATAAAACTATGGGTTTTTTACTTACCCTTTTCTCTATTGCGTCTTTATGTCTCTTCCTCCACAAGAAAATCCTAACTCTTAATGATAGATAATGATAAAAGGAGAGTATCATATGATGGCTCATTTACTGTATTCAGTATTAAACACATGACAGTTTCAAAATGGCAATACTAATATTACCCCTCCAGTATAATGACTAAGAACAGTGAATTTTGTTTTGCATATGTTTTCCTCATGTTCAGAAGGAGAATAAATACAAAGAAACAACCCAGGCACTTCAGAATCAAACTGCTGACAACTGAGAAAGAGAAAATTTTGAAAGTATCCAAGAGCAACTACAAAATCATACCTAACTATTCAAGACAAACTTTGAAACAGAGCACAATGGAGTGACATGTTGAATGCACTGACAGTAAACAAAGTGCCAGCATAGAATTCTGTGTCCAAAGAAAAATATTTTTCAAAATGGGAGTGGAAAGAGTGATGTTTTCAGACAAATAGAAACTGATAGAATTAATCACTACTAATCTAGAGTATTTAGTATATAGTCTTTAATCTTTAGTATCTAGAAATACTAAAAAGATTTTTTCTGGCAGAAAGAAAATAATTCTAAATAGAAGCATAAAAATGTAGTAATAAGTGAAGAATTCCAACTCAATGTATAATAAACATAAATGGATAACAATATATTTAAAAATAAGAATGTCTACAGAGATTTAAAATATTTATGGAAATTAAATGTATGAGAAATATAGCATAAAATGTGGGAAAATGTAAATGGTGCAATGTTATTGTATTGTCCAGAAAATGAAAAGGTTTAAATGTAGCCAGATTAAAATAAGTCAATGTAATGGCATGCAATCTGTCAGTTAACCACTAGAAAAAAAACAAAAAGATATTACTAATAGGTCAGTAGTAAGAAATAAAATGATAACAACAGTCATGCAAATAACAATAGTGAATTAATCTATATAATTAAGCCATTAAAAAATAAATTAAGCCGAAGCAAAGAAATGTATAAGAGCAGAAGTTAAACAACAAAGAAAGCTGTCCTTCAGTACCATTAAAAAATTCAAGTTGTTTCTTTGGAAAGATTAATTATGTTGTTAAATCTTTAGTAAGACTAATCAAGGAAATAAGAAACAAACCATAAATTAGGAAATACAAAAGAATAGGATGATAGATCCTCCAGCTATTAGAATGATAACAAATTATTATCAAAAACCTTATGGCAATGAATTTGACAATTTAAATGAAATTATCAAATTCCATGAATTACAGATTTTTCCACAAATAGACACATAAATATAGGCAACTGATTTTTGACAAAGGGGTCAAGGCAATACAATGGAAAAAATAGATGGTATTTTCAACAAATGGTTTAAGAATAACTAAACATCTACATTCAAACAAAATAAAACCAGACACAAATCTTACACCCTTCACAAAAAATTAACTGAAAGAGAATCATAGACTTAAATGTAAAACACAAAACTATAATGCTCCTGGAAGACAATATAGGAAAAATCCAAGATGACCTTTGGTATGGCAATGACTTTTTAAATATGAACAGCAAAGATATGATCCATGAAAGAAAGAATTGACAAGCTGGATTTAATTATAATAAGATACTTCTGCTCTGAAAATGGCATTCTCAATAGAGTGAGAAGACGAGCCATAGAATGGAAGAAAATATTTTAAAGAACATATTTAATAAAGAACTATTATCTAAAATATACAAAGAACACTTAAAACTCAACAATATAAAAACTACATGATTAAAAAGTCGGTAAAAACCTGAACAGACACATTATTAAGGAAGACATATAGATGGCAAATAAGCACATGTAAGAAGGCTCAATATCATATGTTACTAGGAACTTGCAATTTAAAAAAAAAAAAACCCTAAATGCCATTATAAACCTATTAGAATAGCCAAAATCAGAAACATTGACAACATATACAAATGTGCCAAAATAAATGGTCACATGTGGCCGGGCACTGTGGCTCGCGCCTTTAATCCCAGCACTTTGGGAGGCTGAGGCGGGTGGATCACGAGGTCAGGAGATACAGACCATCCTGGCTAACACGGTGAAACCCCATCTCTGCTAAAAATACAAAAAAATTAGCTGGTTGTGGTGGCGGGTGCCTGTAGTCCCAGCTACTCGAGAGGCTGAGGCAGGAGAATGGCATGAACCTGGGAGGCAGAGCTTGCAGTGAGCCGAGATCGCGCCACTGCACTCCAGCCTGGGTGACAGAGCGAGACTCTGTCTCAAAAAAAAAAAAAAAAGAAAAGAAAGAAAAAAGAAAAAAAAGAAATGGTCATATATATCCATCAACAGTTGGGTGCAGAAATAATTGTGGTGTCTTTAATACTATTAGACAAAACGGAAATGGCAGGTATGTTTAGCAACAGTAACGGTAGGATAGTTAAACTGATCATGCTATATTCTTATAATGGACTTCTAATAGAATTCTATTCAACAATTAGAAAACCACAATTATGACAACATGCAACATGGATCTGTTTCACAGATTAAAATCTATAAACAGAGCATATAGATTATGATTGCCCTCACATGATGTTCAGCAACAGATAAAACTAATATATGCTAATACATTAGAAAATTGATTTTATCATATATATTGAGTTATATAATTAAATGTTTGCATCATGTAGTTTTTCTCCATTAAAAAGATTAAAATAAACCAAATAATCCTTTTTGATTACAGTTCCAGTAGGGCTACAAGGTTTTACTTATTATTTTCAAGCCTAAAATTTGTCACTCAAGTCTTTTCTGCATTACAGTTTTGCTCTTTGGAACTCAACTGTTGGTCTAATTTTCATTTTGTATCTTGTTTTATTTTTGGTAGGTGCACAGTCTTCCTTTTCTGACAGCTTTCAAAATTGTGTGTGTGGCTGTGCATGTATGTTTGTGTTACAGTTTCTATTCAATATGTCTACGTGAAAGTATTTCTTGTAATTCACTAAGTTTCCTGAATCTGATAATTTATATTTTTCATAACTTTGATAATTTTTATATATTATTTATTAGAATATTGCCACTCTTTTGTTCTTAATATACTTTAAAAAAACTCTCTAAAGTTTTAGTTAGACGTGTTAAATTTTATCACTCTATCCACATTGTTTCAACTTGTCCTATATATTTTCCAACTCTTTGTCTATCTGTGCCCAGTTATGAGTAGTTTCTATAGGTCTGCATTCTAGTTCCATAATTCTCTTTTTCAATTAGTCTAATCTTTTCACCTGGTCTAATCTTTTCACCTTTTAAAACAACTCAAATATTGTTGCTGTCTTCACTTATCTTATTTTTCATTTACAGAGATTCTGACTGGTTCTCTTCCAATTCTGTTTATTTTGACAGTTTTATGTTTCATTATTCTTTTTTGATTACTTCTTTTATACTTTGAACACTTTATACATATTTATTTTATATTGTGATCAGATAATTCCTGCACTTTCTGACTTAAATCATCTTATTATTTGTTTTTCTTATCTCCCTTTCTCTGATTTATGATCTTATTTTTCTCATGTGTTTGTGGTGTTTATGAATTTTTATTTCTTGAAAAATAAAATTCTTTATTTGAAAGAATTTATTCTTAAGAATTTATTTATTCTTAATAAGCACATTTATTTATTTGAGGAAAATATTTTACTTTTTAATAGTTACTACCCTGGTTGTGGTGGACACTAAAACTCCCGTTTACTTCTATTCAATATCATCTTTATTTGCTACAAAAACATGAGTTATATTTTAGAGCTTTTAGTGCCATATATTTAGCTTGACATTTAACCCCAAAATTACTTGAAAAAGTGCTTACAATAAAAAAATTTCAGGATAAACTTAATTTTATCTAACTCAGAACAGAGCCTGAGTCAGGTAAATTTATTCACTATTTCCATCAGCCATGCAAGTTGCATTCTGGTGTAACTTTTAAATACGTTTTTTATTAGGTTTCTTGGCTTTAAGCAGGGTTCATCAATTTTGATCTCCCTTAGTACAGTAGAACCAGACTTTACCTTGTATTCATCATGGAAAATCTATTAAAATCCAAGCTAGCAGTACAGAGACTACCACTTATCAGTATAATCCCTCAGCACAAACAATGACTTAGTAGCCATTTCTTCTCTTGATTCATAGTTTTGTCTTATTTTGTTTCTAATGCCTTAGGTAATATTTCTTCCATGTGAGTCATGCATCTTAAAATAATTTTTAACTAAAATATTAAGTAGTCTATACAAAGAAGTTTTCTCTGGTTATCAGTTTGTTCACATTGAGAGAACAAGTCATATTTTCACTATTCTTTGAGCAAGCAGAATCCACTCTAAGCCATTTTGTCTTCCATATACACTCATTTTGTGCTAGGAATGTAAATCCTATCTCTATCAAGTGCATATTTTATATTTTAGGCTCAACATTTGAAATTCTTATTGCATGGTTAATATGTATTGTATAGGGTATTTAAAAATAACATGTCTAAGACAATTTTTGGCTGTTCTCCCATTAAGTTGACCAACCACAGTTTTCACCACTTTAATAAACAGCATCTCTATTCTGTCTTTTATACAGATCAAAATGTTAGAAATCACCCTTTATACTTCACTCTAACAATGCACATTTAATGCATCAGCAAATCTTGCTCACTTTAGCTTTAAAGTGAATTCAAATTTCTACCAATTTACCTTACTCACACCGTGAGCAACTGTCTGTCTTTCCATTCTCATCTTACACTTCCTGCTTTGCACATCACAAAAGTGTTGTCAAGGCTAACAGGAACCACTAAGACATGTTGAGGCACACAGAGGATAAAAATAACTGAAATCAGCTATTATTCTAAACCAAAAGGAGAGCGGTAATAGAAACTGTCTGAGGATATCTGGAGCTCTAAGTAAGGGCTGCCTTAGAAGAGCTGTGTTTTCAATAGAAAAGCATGATCTCTGGCAATTTATGGCCTGATGAAGAGTGGACAAGAAAAAAAAAAAACTCCATCATCATTTTGCCTTTAGATTTGAAATTAGGTTAATAGAAATAAGTAAACCCATGTAATTCACCTTAAAACTTACAAAAGACCAAACATTGCAAAACCCAGAGGTATAGAATGGGTATAGGATTTGAAGGCCCAGCAGACAGTTTGCTATGACAGGTTAATTTGAAGTATTGTAATGTTCATTAAGTTACTGTGTTTCCAGAATCTAAATTAGATGAGAAATGTAATTGTGGTTTTCTAACTTGATAATCAAATTATGTTAACATGGGTCCTTTAGCTTTTAAAATGACTAGCTTTGGTTTAGAAAGGTGGTATTAATCCACTCTCTATTCTTGAAAATTTGGATGGAAGAATTCTGAAGTTGCCTGCTGTTTTCCTTTAGCGCTGAGGTTCTTAAGGTTAGTTTTATATTACTCTGGAATCAAGTATTTTAAATTGTCTTTTTTATTTTAATGCTCTCTCACCAATAATTGTTTGAAACTATCCATTTATAAGGTTATCAGACCTACAGTTCCCTAAGAGGAACTGCATGATCTCTTCAATCAGAAATACACAATAGAAGCGGGTATATGTCCCATGCATTTTTCAATAGTAAGCACTACTTATACCTACATAAGAGTTAAAATCCAGATGTGGGACTTTTTGATACCATCAGTGATATATATATTTTTAAACTGGTACAGAGAAGTGAAAAGATTAAATTCTACTTCTATTTTTTTTTTTTTTTTTTTGAGACGGAGTCTCGCTCTGTCGCCCACGGTGGAGTGCAGTGGCGCAATCTCGACTCACTGCAAGCTCCGCCTCCCGGGCTCACGCCATTCTCCTGCCTCAGCATCTCGAGTAGCTGGGACTACAGGCACCCGCCACCACGCCCGGCTAATTTTTTTTGTATTTTTAGTAGAGACGGGGTTTCACCGTGTTAGCCAGGATGGTCTGGATCTCCCGACCTCGTGATCCGCCCGTCTCGGGTTCCCAAAGTGCTGGGATTACAGGAGTGAGCCACCGTGCCCAGCCAAATTCTACTTCTTGAAAATCACAAAAACTAGTTTAAATTGATGAATTGTTCGTATGTTCAAAATGTAATGACAAAGAAAGCCTACAACCGTCATTTGTATTAACTGTTTTTTTTTAAATCAAAAATTGTTAATGTTAGAAACATAGTATGAAGTGCCTTTATCTGCTTAGACCTAAGGAAGATTTTAAAGTTGGGTTGCAAAGGAAATGATTATGCTTCAATTTCTTAGTAGTTAAAAAGTGCTAAATACTACTTGAAATTATTGTTTACAGATTAGTGACAAGAGCTGGGGTTAGGATCCGGTTGGACTCTGACATCCGGAAACCCTCAAACATACAGAACTTCCAAACTCAAGTCCAGCCATAAGCTATTTTGCCAACATATCAGAGTAATCTGTACTTTTGTATGTGATTTCTACTTTTATAGACTTGTTTTAAAACAATAAAACACATTTTTATAAAAATAAAAAAAAAAAACCTCCATCATCATTCTCTCCCAATTAGCTGATCTTCTAAAAGTACTTTCCATTTTCTCAACCATAACGGAACTGAAAGGGCATGGGAACCTATTTTAAACAGCATCCTGAGACACAGTGTAGGGTAAAATATTTGCAGAGGCAGGAAAAAAAAAATAACCAGTCAGTATATCTAATTTTATGTTACGAACATACATGAATCACAGAACAGTTTTTTCACTCAAGTGTTATATATTAAATGCCAAGAATATCTCTAGCACTCTTCTGCACACTGGGGATGCAGCAGTAACCAGGACAGACCATATAATCTGCACTCAGTTAAGAAGGAAACCATTGAAAAAATGAACAAACAAAGAAGTAATATCATATTACATAATATTTGATATAAACAGAAATATTGATATGCAAGATGGTATTTGAATAAAATGTAGTAAATACATCAAACCTTGAACATTGGGAAGAGAAATGTTCTAGGCAGAGGCACGGAGATAAAAATAAATACTCCTGATTCCTTGTAGATCAGATGAATACAAATTATTTTTGATATTATATTAAACCATTCTTTCACAGATATGATCTCATCTAATAGTCTCATTTACAAATGAGACTGTTATACCTAATTAGTAAAGTGTATGATTGGGGCTTGGCATACTGTCTGCTATATGGTAAAAGCTCAATAAATATTGCAAGTTCTTTTTTTTTCATTATTGTTTTTATTTTGATGATGTGATGATTACTGCATTTCAAGGCCAAGGCTATTTTATTGACTGCAACCTATTAAAATGTAAGAGAGTAATAAAAAAAAGAGAATAATATTAATTAATTCAGACTATATCTCTACATAGAGCTGGAAAAATATTATAAAAAATATATTTTGCAGTTAAATTGAGTATCTTTCATATAGATAAGCTAGATCACATATATTTAATGAAGCAATATAACTAGCATTATTCACTAGTAGTTCTGTTACCAAATACAATCTTAAGTAATTTAATGAATTCCAGTGTCATCAGTCTGGTGACATTTTAAAATTTAAATTCCAATACACTTTGATTACAGAGTCCAAAATTATCTTTGCTACTAAAAAATAACATTTTATATCATAAGAGCACGTCTGTGATAAACATTGAAACGTGTATTATTGAAAAGGAGTTATTCTTAGCATTTTCTCCTACGTGATCTACCCTTTCTTATTTCTTCTCTTTTCTCTTAACATTATTTCCTTTTTAAATTATCGTTAGACTATATTATGTTCTCTCGCATTACTTTTTGCAATTAGTTAAGATAGTTCTATTAATGGCTGTAGATTACAGACTAAATTTATCTAAGTATTTATGAGTGCTTACTAACTATACATGGTTTGTGTTTTATAAATGGTCTCATACCACAATTAGTTTTATGATCCAGTGAGACAAATTGCTAAATATATTTTCTAATTACAAAATAATAATTTATCTCATTCGTTTTTTAAATATTTCACTTTGGAGAAACCCCTTTGAGTTACTAACAAGTGTATATGGTGAAATAAGGTCGTCAACAACAACAACAACAACAACTGCTAAGCTTATTTTTTCCTTTACCCATTAAGTACTTCATAGTTATTATATCTCATAACTTAACCCTTATGATAACATGATTAGCTATTTTATTCCTATTTTGCAGATAAAAATACTGAGGGCATGAAAAAGTAAGTACTTAACTGAGTTACAGTGCTACTAGGTACACTACTTTAGATTTGTATCTGTAGTCCATCTGCAACCCAAGCCCAAGCATTTACACTCAGGTTCACTATCAGTGATATTCATAACTATTCATAAGATATTCATAACTCTTAGGATCAGAAATACTGGCACACAGGCACATACTTTTCCAAGCATTCTAGGAATGATTTACTTTCTAAACTTTTTTCAAAATGGCTTTTTATTTTTATTTTTCCTATGGTGTCTGGTAATTTCTTAAGTATTAATTTATTAAGTGTACTTTAGTGGTATAATGGATGCATCTGCAATGCTAATTGTAGAGAGAATTACTCTTCAAGTAATTACTGCATAACTTTTCCTCTAAGGAAATCAAAATAATATACTTTGGTCTTAGGTTAATTTTTATCTCAAACATCGATTGAGTTAGCTTGACAACACATGTAATTTTATGTTTACGTTTTTAAAATTAGTTAAAATATAAACTAATAAAATGTTCTCTAGCATGGAGAAGATAATAAAACATATTTTGAAATTACTTACATAGATTATATTCAAAATCTTATGTCGTTTATTTATGTTTCTTTCTAATTTAAATTATAAATTGTATGTGAGGACAGCGGCAGCCTGTTTGAAGTGATCACTACCATGATGTCAGCTGCAGTGGGGAACAGGGACAGACCAAGGGTCATCAGGTGCAGATACTGAGGTGGGCAATCCCTGGAGCCCACCCCTGGGAGCATCCCCGGAGTTCGCCACCATGGGAACCCACCCCCGGCAGCCACCATGATGGGGCCAGACCTAGCTGCCTGCGGCAGGACAGCAACATGATCAGGCATGGAGGAGTAGGCAAAGAGGGGCCCTGAGGTTTAGCTGGGCCCAAGGTGGTGCCACACTTGCACACGGAGTGTGGGGACTGGGCCCAAGTTGTGGGCTGTGCTTCAGGGGCCCCTGAAGGAAGGAAGTGGGAAGGAAGTGGGAGCGGCACCCAGAGCAAAACGTACATCACCACAGAGCTGTATGCTACCCCCATAGAGCCAGCCACTACCAGCAGAGCCAGACTCCACATGTTGGAGCAGCTTAGCACTGGGCCCAGGCATGATGTGTTGGACTTAGAGCCCTTGCCCCAGCATATGAGGAGGTGCAGCTGGTGCTGCATGCTCCACAGAACCAGTGGGAGCCAGCAACAAGTAGGAGCCCCACCCTCTCAGAGTTGGCAGGGCGGAAGCTCCCTGGGGAAAGCTGCAGCTGCCCTGCCAGGCTGCGGACCCAGGCATCTCTGCACTCTTGGGGCCCAGGGAAGACCCCCTTGCCCCACAGGTTCAGAAGTGCCTGCTCCTCCTGCTGCCTGGCTTCTCCCCACTGTCAGCTCCCTCTCTGGTCTTGAAACAAGGTTGAAGCCAAGCCCAGGTGCTGTTGCAACCCTGCCAGGTGTGCACATGCTCAGGGAAGCCATGACATGCCAGCTCCCTGCTGCCTCAGGCCCCTGCAGATTTTAGGCACCAAGAAGCACAAGAGGGAGGCCGAGGAGGAGGGACTCAGGGCAGCTTGGTCCTGATCTGCAGGTGCCCCTGGGCACAAACAGCTTGAGTGCCATAAACAGCAGTGGGAGGCAGACAAGATCCTGGACAGAAAGGGGCAGGTCCCCTGTGAAGCTGCGCCTCCAAGCTGGGGAGGGCCTGAAGCCTGGAAGCCAGGCTGGAAGGGAAACTTGTAGTGCTCTTCCCTGGGCCTGCCCATGGCCACCCATGACTGCCAATGGACCAATCAGCATTCACTTCCTCCACTCTGAGGCCCATAAAAGCCCCAGACTCAGCCAGACTTAAAGAGAGGATGGTATGATCAGCTGCAGAAAGGAGTTGCCTTCTCTCATGAGAGCCAAGGAGACAATGGGATAATCAGCTGCCTAGGGGAGCTGCCATTTCTGCTGAGATCTGAATACTCATTGTGGTACCCTGGCTGTGGAGAGGAGGTACCCACTGCAGGCCTCCTCTGAGATGTTTTATCATTCAATAAAGTTCCTATTCATCTTGCAAACACATCCCTTGCTCACCAAGTTGTGGATGACAAGAGGAGAGACGAGAGGAGGAGAAAAAAAGCCACAGCCCTTTCGGAATCCCAGACCTAGGAGCTCCCCTACCCAGGGCTGTGACACTCTCTTTAGGGCTGTACAATTCCTGGCATCACTAAGCTTCCAGGCACCACCACATTCCCTGAAGACAGCCATAGAAGTTGCTTATGGCCCAGTGCAGCCTTGCAGGGAGCCAGTGCCTATGCTGGCACCTAAAGGTGCCTGTCCCACGGCAGCTGGTGTGTCCAGCTGTGCACAGTTGCCAGACCCCATGCTCACTCACAACCCCTCACCACTCTGCCTGGTTCACCCTTGGCAGAGATGGGATGCAGGCTGGTACCTCAAGCCAAGTGTAGCCTCCAGGCTAAGTGTGCTGAACAAGCCCAGTGGGCCAGATCAAAATTAAGGTAAAGGCACCACTGGACACAGAGGTGCTGACACTACACCCCAAGAATCTAGCTGGAGACACTACACACCAAGGATCTTGTAACATTTGTACATTGTTGTAGTTAGACTTCTTGTTTTCAGAGAGCCATTTGTAAACAGTATGTATATGTATTTATTACTTCTGAGTTTGCTCAAATTGAATATATTGTTTTTGTAGTTCAAGTATATTTTTTAAGTGCTTTAAAAGTATTTCTCATCATTTGGGAGAATATATAATATGCCTAAGTAAAGAGGACTAATGGCTTCTTATTCTGAGAATTCGTTAATAATTTTTAAAATGTTTCTTTTGGAGCATACGAAAATTAGGAAATTGAGAAAAGCACAGAGATAACTCCGAAGCACAACTTGGTTCTTGAAGGCAGCCCAATAGTAGACTTCTTACTGAACAGGAAGTAATGCTAGCTTTCCATCCAGATGTGCATTAATTGGGGAGATACGGTAAGTATGGCTTGGTGGAGAAATAAGTAAGTTTCAATGCAATGACTTCTAAACATTTGGTTATTTTGTGATTATCACTCAGGGAAAATGCTCTCTGTAGTTTTTTATGAGAATGCATGTTTAAGCTTTTACTTATCTAACCAGTTTTTGGGGGTTTCTTAAGCATTTTTCAATCAGGTATAATAAAGTTGATTCCCACAAGCAGTTTCAATCTTTGCCCAGAGAATGACTAATATTTTTAGTCTCTATCACTTACCGCATGACTTAGATACAATTATAGCTATCCACTTCAAGAAAAATTATAACCAGATTGGTTTCAACACTGTTCTGGAACTGATTGTATACTATGGATACAGTCCGAACATTGTTAAGTAGTTCAAGCCAAAAGTGTAAATGGGGTACTTTTTTGACTGATGTTTCTACTACTCATAAAGCTAATAAAAGTATTGAAAGAAACTACTAGTGGCCCCAAAACACTGCAAACTCAGAAATAGAGCATAGTATTAAGATAGTAAGATAAAGGAAGATGCATCTTTCTTACTCTTACTGGCTATCACTGGCTCGGACAATCATAACTACAAGGAGTTTTCTACTACAGTTTTTACCAGCCTATCATTAACCACAGCCCTTCACAAACACTGCTCCTGATTCACTCTTAAAACCCATTATCTACATTTATTTAAATATTTCCGTAGCTATTTTTGAAAAGCTACTGGTCCAGAAACATAGATGATAGGAGAAGATATTCCACCCTGGTACTGCAATAATCAAAATCAAGTTTATATAAGTTGCAGTAGACACAGAAAGAATGCTAGTAAGAGTGCACACTCCAATAATAATTTTTATATACTACATAAGTTCAGAAATTTTTAAAACTCAGCTGAGATAATGGAAGAGACTACATAAATATATTTGCAATAAAAAATTATATGAGGATCTGTACACATTGGTCTTCCTTACAGAACAATTATAAAAAAGAGATCTGCCAAAATCTTACTTAGTTGACAGTTATCAAGGACCAAAGCAATCTCTTTGGATAAAAAAAAATTTCTGAATCTTTAATTCAGTCAAGGTATATTAAGTAGAAAAAAATAAACTGAAATGTACATTAGGAAATGTTAATATCAAAAATAAAAGGAATAGTGTCTAGAATATCTGGAAATGATAATACATTTAAAACTAAAGATATAGATAATTATTTTACCAATATATTTAGTATATTCTTTCTCTTTTAAATATACCTTAAGAATTTCCATTGCCCTGCTTTTAGATGTTTTTACAGGTCTTTAAGAATTTTGTTCTGGTATTGAAAGTCATTTTCTCTTCGTACGTATAGGACTTCAGGTTGCTAGTATGCTCTCCGTTGATTGAAAAGAAAATGCAACACTAGTGTGACTCTCTAGTTATTGAAAAGTAGCAATACTTTTTTGAGTTTAATGGGATAGGTTTTGTAGATATTGTATTTTTTCTCTCAGAATAATTATATGATGTTTTCAAAGTGTGTCCTTTGCAAATTTACTATAATGGATGTATAAATAAATATTTTATTACCAAATTTGTTAATTCAATAAATATGAATTGGGTATTTTAATGTGCTATTCTGGGCACTAGGCAAACATTAATAAATAAAAATTACAAAAAGTAATTCATCTTATGTAATTTATATTTAAGGTGGAGCAGTGGGTGCAGACAATTAACAGAATATAAAATGAAAGTCTATTTATGTGAATTTGGAAGTAATAATTACTTTGATATGTGGGAAAAAATGAAGCAACAAAGAAAATGGAATGAGAATTGTCTATTCATGTCCTTGGCCTACTTTTTGATAGGATTGTTTATTTGTTTCTCTTACTAATTTGAGTTCCTTGTAGATTCTGGATATTAGTCCTTTGTTGATTGCATAGATTGTGAAGATTTTCTCCCACTCTGTGGGTTCTCTGTTTAATCTGCTGACTGTTCCTTTTGTTGTGCAGAAGTGCTTTAGTTTAATTAAGTCCCACCCATTCATCTTTGTTTTCATTGCATTTGCTTCTTGGTTCTTAGTCATGAAGTCTTTGCCTAAGCCAATGTCTAGAAGGGTTTTTTCAATTTTATCTTCTAGAATCTTTATGGTTTTAGGTCTTTGATTTAAGTCTTTCATCCATTTTGAGTTGATTTTTTGTATAAGGTGAGAGATGAGGATACAGTTTCATTGTTCTACATGTGGCTTACCAATTATCCCAGGACCATTTGTCGAATAGGGTGCTCTTTCCCCACTTTATGTTTTTGTTTCTTTATCAAAGATCAGTTGGGTGTAAGTATTTGGCTTTATTTCTGGCTTATCTATTCTGTTCCATTGGTCAATGTGCCTATTTTTTATACCTGTACCATGCTGTTTTGGTGACTATGGCCTTATAGTCACTTTGAAGTTGAACAATGTGATGCCTTCAGATTTGTTCTTTTTGCTTAGTCTTGCTTTGACTATGCAGGGTCTTTTCTGATTCCATAGGAATTTTAGAATTGCTTTTTCTAGTTCTGTGGAGAATGATGGAGGTATTTTATTTTTTTCTTTGAGGCGGAGTCTCGCTCTGTCACCCAGGCTGGAGTGCAGTGGCGCAATCTCGACTCACTGCAAGCTCTGCCTCCCAAGTTCACACCATTCTCCTGCCTCAGCATCCTGAGTAGCTGGGACTACAGGTGCCCGCCACCACGCCTGGCTAATTTTTTGTATTTTTAGTAGAGATCGGGTTTCACTGTGTTAGCCAGGATGGTCTCGATCTCTTGATCTCGTGATCCGCCCGCCTCAGCCTCCCAAAGTGCTGGGATTACAGGCGTGAGCCACTGCGCCTGGCCTGATGGTGGTATTTTGATGGGAACTGCATGGAATTTGTAGATTGTTTTTGGCAGTGTGGTCATTTTCACAGTATTGATTCTACCCATCCATAAGAGTGGGATGTGTTTCCATTTGTTTCTGTCATCTATGATTTCTTTTATCAGTGTTTTGTGGTTTTCCTTGCAGAGGTCTTTTATCTCCTTGGTTAGGTATATTCCAAAGCATTTCGTTTTATTTTTTGCATGTATTGCAAAGGGGTTGACTTCTTGATTTGATTCTCAGCTTGGTTGTTCTTGGTGTATAGCAGAGCTACTGATTTGTGTACATTAATTTTGTATCCTGAAATTTTGCTGAATTCATTTATCAGTTCTAGGAGCTTTTTGGAGGGGTCTTTAGCATTTTCTAGGTATATGATAATATCATTAGCAAAGAGCGATACTTTGATTTCCTTTTTACCAATTTGGATGCCCTTTATTTCTTTCTCTTACCTGATTGCTCTGGCTAGGACTTCTAGTACTATGTTGAATACAAGTGGTGAGACAGAGCATCCTTGAGTCATTCCAGTTCTCAGAAAGAATGCTTTCAACTTTTCTCTTTCAGTATTATGTTGGCTGTGGTTTTGTCATAGATGGCCTTTATTACATTGAGGTATGTCCCATGTATGCCGATTTTGCTAAGGGTTTTAATCATAAAATGTTGCTGGATTTTGTCAAATGTTTTTCTGCATCTATTGAAATGATTTTATGATGTTTGCTTTTAATTCTGTTTATGTGGTGTATCACGTTTATTGACTCGCATCTTTTAAACTATCCCTGTATCCTTGGTATGAAACCCATTTGATCATGGTGAATTATCTTTTTGATATGCTGTTGGATTCAGTTAGCTAGTATTTTGTTAAGAATTTTGCATTTATGTTCATGAGGGATATAATGCTCTACATCACTAATGATCAGGCAAATGGAAATCAAAACCACAATGTGATACCATCTTACTCCTGCAACAATGGCCATAATAAAAAAAAAAAAAAAGATGTTGGTGTGGATGTGGTGAAAAGGGAACACTTCTACATTGCTGTGGAAATGTAAACAAGTACAAGCACTATGGAAAACAGTGTGGAGGTTTCTTAAGGAACTAAAACCATTTGATCCAACAATCCCACTACTGGGTGTATACCTAGAAGAAAAGAAGTAATTATATGAAAAAAATATTGGCACACACATGTTTATAGCAGCACAATTTGCAATTGCAAATATATG
Organism: Homo sapiens; assembly: GCF_000001405.40. NCBI lineage: Eukaryota > Metazoa > Chordata > Mammalia > Primates > Hominidae > Homo > Homo sapiens. The sequence continues at coordinate 166,870,867 of NC_000003.12, forward strand.
GAACTAGCCCAACAGCCCATCAATCAACAAGAAGATAAATTTATATATATAAATAAATTTTATAAATTTTATATATATAAATAAGATAAAGAAATATATATGTAATGTATATATATATTTTTTTTCAAATGGAAATCATGAGTATACAATTGCATATAAGTATTTGACATTTGATAGAACTATCTAGCCTGGAGGCATTTATATATATTTATATATATTTATATATATGTATATATGGAATAGTACTCAGCCATAAAAAGAAATGAATTAATGGCCTTTGCAGCAACTTGGATAAAACTGGAGAAAGGTAGAAATAGTGAAAAGTCATAGGATTCTGCACTTTTGAAGGTACAAGTAATGGAATTTCTTGAAGTATTTGATTGTGGGGTGTAAAGGGAAAAGAAAAAATTATGAAGATTTTAAGTTTTTTAGTATAAACAACTGGGAACACTGAATTGCCAACAGCTAAAACAGATGACTTTCAGATACTTTTAGATATTCAAATGGAAATCATGAGTAGTCAGTTGCATATACATATTCGAAGTCTGATAGAAAAAACTATCTAGCCTGGAGACATTTTTAAATCACATATAGACTAAAATTGACACTGGAAAGATGCAGGATTTATATATACTAACACATATTTAGAAGCAATATATGCACCATATTTCTGCCCATTTTTACTCTTCCATATGTTGCTGATTCTCTGTGGTTTTTCTATTATTTCTCTACCAAAGAGGTTTGTCATTGTCTACTTTTATTCTATATATTTTTTTTAATTTGAGAGTACATATTATGGAATAGCAAAGGCTTTACCTCTTATTATCTCTTTACTTTCAGATTCACTTTAACTAGAAATTTTTTTTAAGTCTTTGGTCAGATTCTTGAGGCAGAATACAAATAAGCTTAAAAGAAATTGTTTTCCAGTCAAGCCTTCAGATGAGAATGCAGTCCAGCTGACACTTTAATTTCAGCCTTATCAGAGCCTGAGAAAAGAACTCTATTCAGCCACATTCTGAACGCTGACCCACATAAACTTGGACATAATAAATATGTATATTATAAGCTGTAAAGTCTGTGGTAATTTGTTTTGCAACAATAAATAATTCAAGAGCCATTTTTAATAAAATAATAAAAAACAGAAAACAAAGTTAGATAAAAATAATTCATTACCATTTAATACAAACAATTGGTATTTAGGAGTGGTGTATTTCTATAAAGATACCTGAAAATGAGTTAACAACTTTGTAACTGGGTAACTAGCAGAGAGTGTGGAGGGTTCAGAAGAAGATGAGAAGATGCGAGAGAGTTTGGAACTTCCTAGAGACTTGTTGAATAGTTGTGAACCAAATGATGATAGTGATATGGACAGTGAAGACCAGGCTGAGAAGATCTCAGATGGAGATGAGGAAGTAATTGAGAACTGGAGCAAAGGTCACTTTTTTTTCACCTTGCACGTAGAGCTGGTTGGATAGTGCCCCAGCCCTAGGGATCTGTGGAACTTTGAACTTGAGATTGATGATTTAAGGTATCTGCCTGAAGAAATTTCTAAGCAGTAAAGTCTTCAAAATATTGTCTAGCTGCATCTAACAACATATGCTCATAAGCATGAGCAAAGAAATGATCTGAAACTGGAATGTATATTTAAAAGAGAAGCAGATGTAAATGTTTGGAAAATTTGCAGCCTGGCCATGTGGTAGAAAAGAAAAGCCTATTTTATGGGGAGGAATTAGAGCAGGCTATAGAAATTTGCACAAGTAAAAAAAGAGCAAAATGCTAATAGTCAAGACAATGGGTAAAAGGCCTCAAAGTATTTAGGAGACCTTTGCAGCAGCATTCTTCATGGCAGACTCTTCTCACAGACACAGATGCCTAGGAGGCTAGAATGCTTTCATGAGTTGGGCCCAGGAACCCGCTGCCCTGCACAGCCTCAGGACACTGTTCCCTGCATCTCAACTACTCTGTCCCCAGTTGTGGCTCAAGAACCCCAAACACAGCTTGGGTCTCTGCTTCAGAAGGTGCAAGCTATGAGCCTTGGCAGCCTCCATGTGTTGTTAAGCCTGCTGGTACACAATGTGCAAGAATTGAGGTTTAGGAACCTCCACCCATTTCAGAGATGTATGAAAAAGCCTCAATGTCCAGGCGGAAGCCTGCTGCAGAGACAGAGCCCTTTTGGAGAACCACTACAAGGGCAGTGCAGAGAAGAAATGTAGAGTTGGAGCCCCCACACTGAGTCGCCACTGGGATACTGCCTAGTAAAGCTGTGAGAAGAGGGTCACTGTCCTCCAGATCCCAGGATGTAGATCCACCAACAGCTTGCACCATGTCCCTGGAAAAGCCACAGGCACTCAGCACAAGCCCTTGAAACAGCCTGAGGAGCTGAACCCTGCAAAACCACAGTGGTGGAGCTGCCAAGGCCTTGGGAGCCGAGCCCTCACACCAGTTTTCCCTGGATATGAGACATGGAATCAAAAGAGATTATTTCAGAGCTTTAATGTTTAATGACCGCCCATCTGGGTTTTGAATTTTCACGTGGCCTATTGCCTCATTCTTTTAGCTGATTTCTCCCTTTTGGAGTGGGAGTATTTACCAATGCTTTTCTACCAATTGTATCTTGGTAGTAACTAACTTATATTTGATTTTAAAGACTCATAGGTAGAAGGGACTTGCCTTTGACTCAAATGAGACTTTGGACTTGAGTTAATGCTAGAATGAGTTAAGATGCTGGGGGACTGTTGGGAAGGTTGTATTTTGCAATGTGAGAAAAACATAAAATTTGGGAGTGGCCAGGGGTGAAATGATATAGTTTGGATCTATTTCCCCCCTAAATTTTATGTTCAATTGTATCCCTAATGTTGGAGGCAGGACCTAGTGGAAGGTAATTGGATCATGGGGGCAGTTTCTCATGGTTCCACACCATCCTCCTTGGTGCTGTCATACAGTGAGTTCTCGTGAGATTTGGTTGTTTAAAGGTGTGTGGCACTTCCTCTCTCTTCCTCCTGCTTTGGCCCTGTGAGGTGCTCACTCCCCCTTTGCCTTTCGCCATGATCATAAGTTTTCTAAGGCCTCCTGAGGGGCCAAGGAGATGCTAGCATCATGCTTCCTGTATACCCTGTGGAACTATGAACCAATTAAATCTCTTTTCTTTGTAAATTACCCAGTATCAGGTATTTCATTATAGCAATGCAAGAATATACTAATACATTGATAAAGTCAATGAACATTTAAATAAAATAAGTAAAACATGGAGCAAACTCAAATACAATCAGAAATTAAAAAGAAGACATTAACACTGATACAACAGAAATAATATGATCATAAAAGACTTACAAAAAATTTTACAACAACAAATTGAATAACCTAGAAGACAGAGATAAATTCCTTGATATATATAACTTACCAAGGCTGAATTATAAAGAAATAGAAAATCTTAACCAACTCATAGTGAGTAAAGGGATTAAAATAATAATAAAAATTATGCCATCAAGGAAAAGCACAAGTCTTGATGACTTCACTGATGAATTTAAACATTAAAAAATAACTAATACCAATTCTTCTTAAACTCTTTCAGAAAATTAAAAAGAACATAATTATTTCAAACTCATTTTACAAGGCCAGAATCACTCTGATTCCAAGCCAGACAAGGACACTACAAAAAAAGAAAATAACAAGCCTATGTCCCAGATAAGCATACATGCAGAAATCCTTGAAAGAATACTAACAGATCAAATCCAACAGTACATTAAAAAGATGATTTAATATGATCAAGTGGGTTTTCTTTAAGGGATGCAAGAACAGTTCAACATACGTAAATCAATAAGCAAGATATATCACATAAACAGAATGAAAGACAAAAATCATATTTCAATAAATAAAGATTTGACACAACTCAATATCTTTTTATAAAATCTCTCAACACATTAGAGATAGAAAGTATGTACTTCAGCACATTAAAGATCAGGTATAACAAGTGCACAGCTCACATAATCAATGAGAAAAAGTTGACAGCTTTTCCTCTAAGATTAGAAACAAGACAAGGGGCCCACAATTATCACTTCTATTCAGTATAGTCCTGAATATTCAAGCCAAATAAATTAGACTAGAAAAAAACATTCAAATTAAAAAGGAAAAAGTTAAATTGTCCCTATGTGCAGATGACATGATCTTATATATAAAGTATTTTAGCAACTCCACCTAAGAAAATCATTAGAAAAAATAAGCAAATGTAGTAATGTTGCATGATACAAAAATCCACATTCAAAATTAGTAGCATTTCTATACACTATATAGTGAGCCATCTGAAAAAGAAATTAAGAAAATACCCCCATTTAAAATAGCTGTAAAAGATAAAATACCTAGGAATAAATTTAACCAACAAGTAAAGATCTCTACATTGAAAACCATAAGACAGTGGTGAAAGAAATTAAAGAAGACACAGATGAATAAAAAGACATATTTATAAGTATGAATAATTAGATTTGTTAAAATGTTCATACCACTCAAGCTGATCTATAGAAGAAACATAATCCCTATTAAAATAACAATGACATTTTTCACAAAAAAAGAGAAAAAATTCTAAAGTCTGTATGAAACTACTGAAAACTCTGGATAATAATCAAAGCAATTTTGAGAGGAAAGAAGAAACCTGGAGGCATCACATTACTTGACTTCAAAATATATGACAAAGTCATAGTAACCAAAACAGCATAACACTGCCATAAAACCAGACACATAGACCAAAGGAACAGAAAAGAGTTCTCAGAAATAAATCTACACATTTACAGTCAGTTGATCTTTGACAAAGTCTGCAAGAAACTACAACGGGAAAAGGACAGTCTCTTTAATAAATGATGTTGGGAAAATGGATGGATATCTATGTGCAGATGAATAAGATTAAACACTTATCTTACATCATAGACAAAAATCATCTCAAAACAGTTACAAGAGTTAAATGTAAGACTCAACACTATGAAACTCCTAGAAGAAGAAACTAGAAGACAAAATAAGCAAATTCTTCAGGTCATTGGTTTATATAATGATTTATTGGATATGACCCCAAAAGCAGAGTTAACAAAAGCAAAAGTAGACAAATGATATTATATTAGCAAAATTTTCCACACAGTAAAGCAGACAATCAACTGGACGAAAACACAACTTATAAAACGTGGAAATATTTTCAAACCTTACATCTGATAAGGAGTTCATATCCAAAATATATAAGAAATACAAATAATGAAATAGCAGGAAAACAACCCAATTTAAAAACAAGCAAAGGACGTAAATACCATTTTTTTCAAAAAAAGACATATATATGGCCAGTAGGCATATAAAAAATATTCAACATCACTAATCATCAGAAAAATGCTAATTAAAACCACAATGAGATATCACCTTACACCTATTGGAATTTCTATTATCAAAAAGATGAAAGATAGTAAGTGTTAGCAAGGATGTGGCGAAAACCAAACCCTCACAGACTGTTGGTGGGAATGTAAATTAATGCAACCTTTATGGAAAACAGTATCGAAGTTTCACAAGAAAATTAAAATAGAACTACCATATGATCCAGCAATCCCACTACAGGATATGTACAGTAGTTTTAAACATGAAATCTATATTTCCAAAAAAAAATTTGCACTCCTATGCTTATTGCAGCATTATTCACAGTAGTTGAGATATGGAATCAACTTAAGGGCCCATGAAGGGATGAATGGATTTAAAAAATGTGATATATATATACAATGGAATACTGTCCAGCTTTAAAAAAGAAGGGAGTCCAGTCACATATGACTATATAGATGAATCTGCAAGACATTATGTTAAATGAAATAAGCCAGGCACAGAAAGACAAATACTGCCTTATCTCAATTATAGGTGTAATCCAAAAAAATAGAGTTCACAGATGGACAGATTAGAATGGTTGCCACCAGGAGGTGGGGTGGCTGCTGGGAGGGGGGATTGCATTGGGGAGATGTTACTCAAAGGGTACAAAATTTAAGTTTGATAGGAAGAATAAGTTCAAGAGATTTGATGTACAACATGGTTATACTACATAGTTAACAATATATTGTATTACTGAAAAATGCTAAGAGAGTGGACTTAAAGTATTATTACTACAAAAATGATGACCATGTGAAATAGTTCATGTATAAATCATTTAAAATAATGTGTGGTACATAGTAAATATGCAATTTTATCTCTCAATTTCAGAAACCCTCTTCCCTTTATGTTTTTGGCAATATTCCCTTTGATGACATCTTCATATGAGGGTAGTTGGATAATATTAATTTTCTATTCAGTTGATTAAAAATAATTTAATCTTTACTATCATTAATCATATATTTAATATCCTTACTAATATATAATGTTCATTTCAAATTTGTAACTTGTTAAGAGTGATGTTATGTAAGGTTTTAGAATCAAATTTGGAATGCAATTATTAGTTTGTTTTATATAACTTCGTTAGACTTTAGGGTGTTTCAAATTTACTGGTGCCGTGACTAATTTGAAATTGAATTCACAACCATCATCAACAAGTTTGTCAGTATTCTGTGTCAAATTATCAAGAAATAAATATTTCCAGTGGGTTCATAGAGTTTATTTATTTTCATTAAAATGATTTTAAATCATCATCTATTCAAATGTACCTCTTTAACTTAATCATTTCTAACCTTTCAAAAACTGTCTTTAAAAAATTATTTGTCTAATAATAACTCTTCTGGTGTGTACGGCTAGCAAGAGGAGAAAGAGATAAAGAGGAATGTGCACACCCCTCTAATTTCAGCTACTAAGCTTCAAATGAAACTGACAGTTACATACTTTGGTCAAAATTTATGATGGAGACATTCTTAACTCTAAGGGAAATTGAGAAACAGTATTTTATTCTAGACTGAATAACTACTATTTAGTTAAAAACTGCAACTTGTATTGCTTAAGGAAACAGGGATATTAGAAAATATTATTAAGAAAATGGTATCTGCTACAACATACATATTTGCCTATTTTCTGAGAAGAGAATCCATATTTTATGAGATTTTTGGTATTAACTGGGATTTATTTGCAGATGAATTTAGACAATTAAAGCAGAAATAGGTTTATTTCAAGGTATTATTTAGCTAATGTAATTTTTAATGCATGTGGAGTCATGTAGTCAATCAAAAGTTTTGTAGCCAGGAGAAATGTCCAATCATTCCATAATACTGTTCCAGGAGAAATCCCTCTTGACACCCCTATAGCCACAGATCCCACAATCTTTGCCAAGCTACTGCAGAGAAAATCAAATGACTACATGAGTATCTCTGCCAGAAGAGCCATTAAGCCTCACTCATCCTTTACATCATTCTTCTTAATTCTGAGAAGGTAGATTGGCTTAAAGTTCCCTATCCAATCAGTTGCAAGGGATGCTGGAAAATGTAGTTTTGGGTTACAGCCTAAGAAAATGAGAATTCACAGTGGAGAAAGGAAACAAAAATGGCAAAGGCATGTTTAAAATATTTTGTGTGTACAAGCAACATGTCTCATTTTCCAAGGTATCCGTGAATCACTAAAATTTTTTTAATGTACTGCACTGTTTATTTGAAGACAGACATAAAATGATAATTTGACAAATTCATATATATTTTAAGAGAAATAAAAATTCATGTGTCCCAATGATATAAACTAAGAGCAAGAATTATTTGCAACAAACTAGATACTCAAATTGTTTATATTCTCAAATTGCCTATCTCCTTTTCAAATAAATAAAAATATTAAATTAACATAATAGGTAAAAATAATTGATGTATTAATTATACATTTATAGGCATAGACATTCAAATGCAAAAAATAAATAAATAAATATTTTATTTTAAATCTTAAATCTTAAAATCTATACTCCCTATCACATTAAAAAATATGATGAGTGGTTTGATCATTTATTTTATTATAAAATAAAAATAGATACATTAAAGTGAGAAAAACTTACCAGATTTAGACTTAAAATATCTGTATTCAAATGTTCTTTTCCCTAATTTCTTACTTTTAACGTTTCAGAGGCTTAGTTATGTGACTAAGAAAATATGGATAACGAAAACTATCTCATAAGTTTAAAAATGTAATTGAAGTAACACATGAATCAGTTTATGAACAAAGGCGAATTGTGACAAAATAGAAAGAAAAGAATCATTTGTATCACTGACACATGAGACTTGGATTTCTAGTAAGCAAAAGAAAAAGCTATCAGGCATAGGAAATAATGTCCTTGAATCAAAACGAATTATAATTATTGATTTTTTAAAATTGATTATCTTCAATATTCTGACTTGAAGAGTAAGGCGTTGGTCTGAATAGCATTAGATATAATGAGAGTACTAAGCACACACACACAAAATATACTCTTTTCATATTTGAGGAGTTTCCATTGTATTATTATTATTTTTTTTTTGTTGTTTGCATTCATGGGTGTATTTAGGCAAATTTCCCTGATTCTTCATAGCATCGCTAGCAAATGAACCCTTTCCCTACCTGGTCCCGCGGTAGCAACTACGATGATCTTATGTGGGATAATAGACTCAGAGAAAACATCTCTAGGTGAAAATAAATAATAAATAAAAGATCATCATTCACTTGGCTATAACAATAAAAATGCTAGTCCTAAAGTATACAGTAATAAGGAAATACACAGATTCACTGATATTCTTATTAGTCCTGCTCTGGTGTATTACTTTCTTATGGCTGAGGTAACAAAGTACCACAATCTGGGTGGCTAATAAAAACCTAGTGTTTTTTTTTCTCACAGTTCTGGAGGCTACAAGTCTGGAAATCAAGATGTTAGTAGGATCATGCTCTCTGAGACACTGGGAAGAATTCTTTCTTGCCTTTTCCCAGTTACTGTGGGTTGTCATCAATCCTTGTGGGTTGTCATCCTTGACATTCTTTGGTTTGTAGCTGTATCATCTCTGCCTCCATCACCAGTTACAGAGTTCTCCCTATGTGTCTCTGTCCTTTTCTTAAAAGGACACTAGTCATATCCTAATGATGTCATCTTAACTTGATTACATCTGCAAAGACTCTGTTTCCAGAGATCACATTCTGAGGTACTACGGGTTAGAAATCAAAATACCGTTTGCAGGGACAAAATGCAACTCATAATATTTGCATCCTTGAAAAATGTATATGTATTTATATTAATTATACATTTTGTTTATATTAAATATATGTAATATGTATTATATAAGTATATATAATATATATTTATATATGTATATATAATACATATCTATATATATGTAAATATATATTATATATTTACATGTACAAACCAATGGGTACATTATGAGTTGTACTGTGTCCCTGCAAAAGATATGTATATATAAAAAACAAGCCAACATGTGTATTACACACACACATACACACCCATTGGTTTGTATAAATATATAATATATATTTATATGTAAATATATAATATATATTTATATGTAAATATATAATATATATTTAATATATTTATATGTAAATATATAATATATATTTAATATATTTATATGTAAATATATAATATATATTTAATATATTTATATGTAAATATATAATATATATTTAATATATTTATATGTAAATATATAATATATATTTAATATATTTATATGTAAATATATAATATATATTTAATATATTTATATGTAAATATATAATATATATTTAATATATTTATATGTAAATATATAATATATATTTATATGTAAATATATAATATATACTTAATATATTTTTACATGTAAATATATAATATATATTTATATAAACTATTTATATATACATACATATATAATAAACTGTCTTTAAAAATTATTTGTTTAATAATAACTCTTCTCATCATGTTCAGCTAGCACGAGGAGAAAGAGATAAAGAGGAATGTGCACACCCCTCTAATTACAGCTGCTAAGTTTCAAATGAAACTGACATTTATATACATACATATATACATATATATAATGTATATGTAAATATATTTTATATATATATAAAGTTTTCAAGGATTCAAAAATTATGAGTTGTACTGTGTCCCTGCAAAAGATATGTATATATAAAAAACAAGCCAACATGTGTATTACACACACACATACACACCCATTGGTTTGTTTTTTATGTCCCTTATTTTTGTGTGCAATTTAATTTTTAGTTAATCCTGGGGGATGCAATGGATTCCTTATAAGGTTTCTAGGTTACTGGTGAACAGTGAGAAAGTGAACATTTCAAGACTCAGAAGGCCCATATCCTAGTCCCAATTTCACCACAAATAAACTATAATGCTGGGCCAATGTAAGGATGTCTAATGTCTACTGTGAGGATAGCATAAGATAGTACACTTCACTGCAATTTCAAATGTATGACTTTTTCTTTGGAAGCTAAGACCTCCTTACAGGATAATAGGAAGGAGATGGCAAGGGTTACTTGTTTGTTTCATACACCAAAAAACAAAACTGAGTTGATGGGAAACATAAGAGCTAAATCACTTTAACAAGATAAAGGCTTTTTTAAAAAACAGAGGTGTTTGTCAGAGTAGTAATAGGAAGGGTCAATTTGTATGTCACAAATTAGAATAAAGGGAATAGAGGCTGCTCACATGTTTAGACAAGGTTTTGGGCACCAAAGAAATGTCATATGTTGATAAGATTTGTCCTGAATGGTATTGCCTAGGTTTTTTTCTAGGGTTTTCATGGTTTTAGGTCTGATGTTTAAGTCTTTAATTCATCTTGAATTAATTTTTGTATAAGGTGTAAGGAAGTGTTCCAGTTTCAGCTTTCTACATATGGCTAACCAGTTTTTCCAGCACCAAATAGGGAATCCTTTCCCCATTTCTTGTTTTTCTCAGGTTTGTCAAAGATCAGATAGTTGTAGATATGCAGCATTATTTCTGAGGGCTCTGTTCTGTTCCATTGGTCTATATCTCTGTTTTGGTACCAGTACCATGCTGTTTTGGTTACTGTAGCATTGTAGTATAATTTGAAATCAGGTAGCGTGATGCCTCCAGCTTTGTTCTTTTGGCTTAGGATTGACTTGGTAATGCGGGCTCTTTTTTTGTTCCATATGAACTTTAAAGTAGTTTTTTCCAATTCTGTGAAGAAAATCATTGGTAGCTTGATGGAAATGGCATTGAATCTATAAATTACCTTGGGCAGTATGGCCATTTTCATGATATTGATTCTTCCTACCCATGAGTGTGGAATGTTCTTCCATTTGTTCGTATCCTCTTTTATTTCCTTGAGCAGTGGTTTGTAGTTCTCCTTGAAGAGGTCCTTCACATCCCTTGTAAGTTGGATTCCTAGGTATTTTATTCTCTTTGAAGCAATTGTGAATGGGAGTTCACTCATGATTTGGCTCTCTGTTTGTCTGTTATTGGTGTATAAGAATGCTTGTGATTTTTCCACATTGATTTTGTATCCTGAGACTTTGCTGAAGTTGCCTATCAGCTTAAGGAGATTTTGGGCTGAGACGATGGGGTTTTCTAGATATACAATCATGTCAACTGCAAACAGGGAAAATTTGACTTCCTCTTTTCCTTAAAAAAAAAGAAATCTCAAAAAACTGGATATCAAAGGAACATACCTCAACATAACAAAAGTCCTATATGAAAGATCAACAGCTAGTATCACATTGAATGGGGAGAAAATTGAATCAAAAGAAATGTGCAACATCTCCAAGAAATGCAGAATTACATAAAATGGCCAAACTTAAAAATAATTGGTGTTCCTGAGAGAGAAGAGAAAGCAAATAGTTTGGAAAATTTATTTTAGGAAATAAAGAAAACTTCCCTGGCCTTGCTAGAGTTTTAGATAGCCAAATACAAGAAGCTCAAAAAACTCCTGGGAGATTCATTGCAAAAAGTTCATCACCAAAGCATATAGTCATTAGGCTATCTAACAGCAACATTAAGGAAAGCATTCTAAGAACAAATGAGACAAAACCATTAGGCAAACTATAAATGAAAACCTATCAGACTAACAGCAGACTTTTTAGCAGAAACCTTACAAGCCAGAAGGAACTGGGGATCTATCTTTAGCCTCCTTAGACAAATAACTGTCAGTCAAAATTTTTGTATTTAGTAAAATTAACTTTCATAAATGAAGGGGAAATTAAGTCATTTTCAGACAAACACATGTGAAGGAATTTATTACTACCAGAGTAGCCATATAAGAAATGTTAAAATGAGTCATAAATCTTGAAGCAAAAGTCCTATATGCACCAGAATAGAATCTCTTTAACGCATAAAACGCACAGGACCTATGAAATAGTAACACAATATTAAAAAATGAAGTTAACTAGGTAACAATTAACATGATGACTAGAATAGTACTTCACATTTCAGTATTAATTTTAAATGTGAATGGCTTAAATGCTTCACTTAAAAGATACAGTTTGGAAAAATGGATTAAAAAAAATCAGATACCAAGTATCTGTTGTGTTCAAGAGACTGACCTAACACATAAGTATTCATATAAATTTAAGATAAAGGGGTAGAAAGATATTTCATACAAATTAAAACCAAAAGCAAGTAGGAGTAACTATTCTCATATCAAATAAAAAGGACTTTAAAGCAACAACAGTAAAAAAGTCAAAGAAGGTTATTGTATAATGATAAAATAATCAATCTAACAAGAATATATTAATTAAATTCTAAACTTACATGCACCTAACACAGGAGTTCCCAGATTCATAAAACAGTTACGCCTTTACTCAAGAAATAAGACACCAAGACAATAATACTGGGAAAATTCAATACTCCATTAACAGTACTAGACAGGTCATCCAGACAGAAAGTCAACAAAGAAACAATGAACTTAAACTACACTCGAGAACAAATGGACCTAATAGACATTTACAGAACATTCAACCCAAGAACTGCAGAAAATTCATTCTTCTCATCAGCACATGAAACATTCTCCAAGATATACCATATCATAGGCCACAAGACAAGTCTCTATAAATTAAAAAAATAAAAAACATGTCAAGTGTCTTCTCACATCACAGTGGACTAAAACTAAAAATCAACTCCAAAAGAAACCCCTAAAACTATATAAATACATGGAAATTAAACAGTATGCTTCTGAATGATTTTGGGATAGCAATGAAATCAATATGTATATTGAAATATTATTTGAAATGAATAATAACAGTGACACAATTTATCAAAACTTCTGGATACAGCAAGAGCATTGCTAAGAGGGAATTTTATAGTGTTATATACCTACATCAAAAATTTGAAAGATCACAAATTAACAACCTAATATCATACCTCGAGAATCACAAAAACAAGAACAAATTGAAGCCAAAGTTACCAGAATAAAAGAAATAAGAAAGATTACAGCAGAACTAAATGAAATTGAAACAAAAAATGCAAGAAAAGTTGGTTATTTGAAAACATAAATGAAATTGACAGAACATTAGCTAGATTAACCAAGAAAAGAGAGAAGATTCAAATATGCTTAATTAGAAACGTTACAACTGACACTAGAGAAGTATAAAAGATCATTCAAGACTACTATAAACACTTTTATGCACACAATCTAGAAAACCTAGGAAATGGATAAATACTTGGTAACATCAACCCTCCAAGATTAAATAAGGAAGAAATTGAAACCCTGAACTGACCAGTAACAAACAGCGAGGTTCAATCAGTAATTTTAAAATTGCCAATAACAAAAAAGCCTAGGGCTAGATGGAGTCACAGCTGAATTCTACCAGACGTTCAAAGATGAATTGGTACCAATCCTACTGAAATTCTTCCAAAATATTGAGAAAGAGGGAATCCTCTCTGAATTGTTCTATGAAGCCAGTAACATCCTGATACCAAAACAAGGAAAGGCCATAACAAAAGAAATTAAAAAAAACCTACAGACAAATATTCCTGATAAACTTAGATGCGAAAGTCCTCAACAAAATACTAGCTAACCAAATCCAACAGCATATCAATAAAGTAATCCACCATGATTAAGTGGGTTTCATCTTAGGGATGCAGGGATGATTTAACATATGCAAGTCATAAATGTGATACACCTATAAACAGAATTAAAAACTAAAACCATATGATCATTTCGATAGATGCAGAAAATGCATTCAATAAAATCCAGCATCATTTAATGACAAAAACCCTCAACAAACTAGTCATAGAAGGAACTTACCTCAAAATATGAAAAACCCTCAACCAACATCATACTGAATGGAAAGAGTTGAAAGCATTGCCCCTGAGAACTGGAACAAGACAAGGATGCACAGAATGGGAGAAATGCATTCAACAAAGGGCTAGTATAAAGAATCTACAAGGAATTCAGACAAATCTGCAAGAAAAAAAATAATAATCCCATCAAAAAGTTGGAGAATGACATGAATAGACATTTCCCAAAAGATGTACAAATGGCCAATAAATATGTTTTAAAAGTTCACCATTATTAATCATCAGGGAAATGCAAATCAAAACCACAATGAGATACCACCTTACTCCTGTAGGAATGTCCATTATTAAAAGGTAAAAACAAAATAGATGTTTTTGTGGATGTGGTGAAAGGAGAATGCTTACACACTGCTGGAGGGAATGTAAATTAGTACAACTTCTATGGAAAACAGTATGGCAATTCCTTAAAAAACTAAAAGTAGACCTACCATTTGATTCAGCAATCCCACTACTGGGTATCTACCCAAAATAAAAGGAGTTATATGAAAAAGACACATGCACGTGTATGTTTATTGCAGCCCAGTTCACAATTGCAAAGATTGGAACTAATCTGAAAACCCATAAACCAATAAGTGGATTTTTAAAATGTGATATATATGCACTACACAATGCTTCTCATCCATAAACAGGAATGAAATAATGTATTTTTCAGCAACTTGGATGGAGCTGGAGGCTATTATTTCAAGTGAAGTAACTCAGGAACGGAAAATCAAACATCATATGTTCTCACTTAGAGAGTTAAACTATAAATATGCAAAGGCACACAGAGTAATATAATGGATTTTGGAAGCTCACAATGGGTAGGGTGGAATGTGGGATAAAAAACTACATTTTGGGTACAACATGTACCCAAATGAGTGATGGATGCCTTAAAATCTCAGAATTTGCCACCATATAATTCATTCATGTAACCAAAAACCACTTGTACCCCAAAAGCTATTGAAATTAAAAAATAATAATAAAAAGGAAATGTGGTGCATGTACACAATGGATTACTATTTATCCAGTTAAAAAACAATGAGATCCTGTCATTTGTAACAACATTGATAGAACTGGAGGTAATTATGTTAAGTGAAATAAGCCAGGCACAGAAACACAAACTATGCATGTTCTCACTTATTTGTGGGACCTAAAAATTAAAACACTTGAACTCACAAAGATTGAGAGTAGAACAATGGTTACTAGAGGCTGGGAAGGGTAGTGGGGAGAGAGGGATATGGGGATGGCTCATGGGTACAAAAATATAGTTAGATAGAGTAAATAAGATCTAGTATTTGAAATTACAACAGGGTAAGTACAGCCAACAATAATTTGTTGTTCATTTTAAAAATAACTAAAAGTATATAATTGGATTGTTTGTAATACAAAGAAAGAATAAATGCTTGAGGTGAAGGATACCCCATTTACTCTAATGTGGTTATCACATATTGTATGTCTGTATCTAAATATCTCGTGTGTTCCATCAATATATATACCTTCTATGTACCCACAAAAATTAAAGATTAAAAATTAAAAAAATAGATTCTCTGAAAACATATGCTTCATTAAAGTCATTGTAAAGCTAGATGCAGTACATTTTTTGCAAGTTTGTGCATTTAACTTACAATTAATATCAAGACTATTGTATTATATCAGCGTTGTTTTGATTGTAACTGACAGCAATTCCTACCCAAACTAGCTAAAAACAAAAACAAAAAAGTACTATAATGAATTTTGTATAATGACACTGTATTAGTCAGAGTTCTCTAGAGGGACAGAACTAATGGAATATATAAAGGGGAGTTTATTAAGTATTAACTCACTTGATCACAAGGTCCCACAATAGGCCATCTGCAGTCTAAGGAGCAAGGAGAGCCAGTTTGAGCTCCAAAACTGAAGAACCTGGAGTCCGATGTTCGAGGGCAGGAAGCATACAGCATGGGAGAAAGATGGAGGCTGGGAGACTAGGCCAGTCTCTCTTTCCACATTTTTCTGCTTGCTTATATTCTAGACACGCTGGCAGCTGTTTAGATTGTGCCCACCCAGATTAAGGGTGGGTCTGCCTTTCGCAGCCCACTGACTCAAATGTTAATTTCCTTTGGAAAGACCCTCACAGACACACCCAGGATCAATACTTTGTATTCTTCAATCCTATCAAGTTGACACTCAGTATTAACCATCACAAGTCCACCCCTTGTCAAACTTGAACCCATACACATGTCCTGAGATCATACATAATCTTCAAATAAAGACAATAAAGCCAATAATAAGGTCATAATTGTGCCTAACATAATACAACTATGCTTCCTACAACCAGAAATGCACCAATTACCCACCC